>NC_000023.11:61812416-62068000 GCF_000001405.40 Homo sapiens | reverse complement strand
GTAGCACTCTCAGAAAATTCTTTGTGACGATGGAGTTTAACTCAGGGAGCTGAACATTCGTTATGATGGAGCAGTTTCCAAACACACGTTTTGTAGAAAACATCATCTCTACTAAAAATACAAAAATTAGTTGGGCATGATGGTGGGCACCTGTAATCCTAGCTACTCAGAAGGCTGAGGAGGGAGAAAGAATGGCTTGGACCTGGGAGGCAGAGGTTCCAATAAGCTGAGATCTCAGCACTGCACTCCAGCCCTGGCAACAGAGCAAGACTCCGTCTCAAAAAAAAAAAAGAAAAGAAAACCGTCTGGTTTTTATATGAAGTTCTTTCCTTCACTACCACAGGCCTCAAAGCGGTCCAAATCTCCACTTGCAGATTCTACAAAAAGAGTGTTTGCAAACTGCTCTATCAAAAGGAATGTTCAACTCTGGGAGTTGAATGCAATCATCACAGAGCAGTTTCTGAGAATGCTTCTATGTCGTTTTTAGGAGAAGATATTTCCTTTTCCAACACAGTCCTCCAAGCCCGCTAAATAGCCACTTGCACATTGTAGAAAAAGTGTGTCAAAGCTGCGCTATCAAAGGGAAAGTTCAACTCTGTGAGGTGAATGCAAACATCCCAAAGAAGTTTCTGAGAATGCTTCCGTTTAGCTTTTAGGTGAAGATTATCCCGTTTCCAACGAAACCTTCAAAGAGGTCCAAATATCCCCTTGCGGATCCCACAGAAAGAGTGTTTCGAAACTGCTGTTTCAAAAGGAATCTTCAACTCTGTGAGTTGAATGCAATCATCACAAAGAAGTTTCTGACAATGCTTCTCTCTCGTCTTTCTGTGAAGATAAAGGAAAAGGCTTTCAGGCCTTTTCCACCACAGGCCTGAAAGCGCTCCAAATGTCCACTTGCAGATTCTGCCAAAAGAATATTTCAAAACTGCTCTATGAAAAGCAATGTTAAACTCTGTGGCTGGAACACAAACATCACAAAGCGGTTTCTGAGAATGTTTCAGTTTAGTTTTTCTTTGGAAATATTCCCGTTTCCAAAGAAATCTTCAAAGAGGTCCACGTATCCACTTACAGATTCTACAAAAAGACAGTTTCAAAACTGCTCCATCAAAAGGAGGGTTCAACTGTGTGACTTGAATGCAATCATCACTCAGAAGTTTCTGAGAATGATTCTCTTTAGTTTTTACGTGAACATATACCCGTTTCGAACGAAGGCCAGCCAGTGGTCCAAATATCCACTTGCAGATTCTACAGAAAGAGTGTTTCGAACCTGAACTCTCAAAGGCAGGTTCATCTCTGCGAGTTAAATGCATTCATCATGAAGAACTTTCTCAGAGTGTTTGTGTTTAGTTATGGGAAATTATTCCCGTTTCCAACGAAATCCTCAGAGAGCTCCAAATATCCACCTGCAGATTCTACCAAAAGTGTTTTTGGAAACTGCTCCATCAAAAGGCATGTTCAGCTCTGTGAGTGAAACTCCATCATCACAAAGAATATTCTGAGAATGCTTCCGTTTGCCTTTTATATGAAGTTCCTTCCTATACGACCGTAGGCCTCAAAGCAGTCCAAATCTCCATTTGCAGATTCTACAAAAAGAGTGATTCCAATCTGCTCTATCAATAGGATTGTTCAACTCCATGAGTTGAATGCCATCCTCACCAAGTCGTTTCTGAGAATGCTTCTATCTAGTTTTTATGTGAAGATATTTCCTTTTCCACCACAGGCCTCAAAGCCCTCCAAACGTCCACTTGCAGATTCTCGAAAAAGAGTGTTTTATAGCTGCTCTTTCAAAAGGAAAGTTCAACTCTGGGAGTTGAATACAAACATCACAAAGTAGTTTCCGAGAATGCTTCTGTTTAGTTTTTATGTGAAGATGATCCCGTTTCCAGTGAAATCTTCAAAGAGGTCCACATATCCCCTTGCAGATTCCAAAGAAAGAGGGTTTCAAAACTGCTCCATCAGAAGGATTGTTCAACTCTGTGAGTTGAATGCAGTCATCACAGAAAACTTTCTGAGAATGCTTCTGTCTAGGTTTGATGTGAAGATATAGACGTTTCAAACGAAGGCTACAAAGTGGTCAAAATATACACTTGCAGATTCTACTACAAGGGTGTTGCAAACCTGAACTATCAAAGGAAGGTTCAACTCTGTGAGTTGAATACAAACATCACAAAGAATGTTCTGAGTTTGCTTCCGTTCAGTTATGGGAAGTTGATCCCGTTTCCAACGAAATCCTCAGAGAGGTCCAAATATCCCCTTGCAGATTCTACAAAACGTGTGTTTGGAAACTGCTCCATCATAACGAATGTTCAGCTCCCTGAGTTAAACTCCATCGTCACAAAGAATTTTCTGAGAGTGCTACCGTCTGGTTTTTATATGAAGTTCTTTCCTTCACTACCACAGGCCTCAAAGCGGTCCAAATCTCCACTTGCAGATTCTACAAAAAGAGTGTTTGCAAACTGCTCTATCAAAAGGAATGTTCAACTCTGGGAGTTGAATGCAATCATCACAGAGCAGTTTCTGAGAATGCTTCTATGTCGTTTTTAGGAGAAGATACTTCCTTTTCCAACACAGTCCTCGAAGCCCGCTAAATATCCACTTGCACATTGTAGAAAAAGTGTGTCGAAGCTGCGCTATCAAAGGGAAAGTTCAACTCTGTGAGGTGAATGCAAACATCCCAAAGAAGTTTCTGAGAATGCTTCCGTTTAGCTTTTAGGTGAAGATTATCCCGTTTCCAACGAAACCTTCAAAGAGGTCCAAATATCCCCTTGCGGATCCCACAGAAAGAGTGTTTCGAAACTGCTGTTTCAAAAGGAATCTTCAACTCTGTGAGTTGAATGCAATCATCACAAAGAAGTTTCTGACAATGCTTCTCTCTCGTCTTTCTGTGAAGATAAAGGAAAAGGCTTTCAGGCCTTTTCCACCACAGGCCTGAAAGCGCTCCAAATGTCCACTTGCAGATTCTGCCAAAAGAATATTTCAAAACTGCTCTATGAAAAGCAATGTTAAACTCTGCGGCTCAAACACAAACATCACAAAGCGGTTTCTGAGAATGCTTCAGTTTAGTTTTTCTGTGGAAATATTCCCGTTTCCAAAGAAATCTTCAAAGAGGTCCACGTATCCACTTACAGATTCTACAAAAAGACAGTTTCAAAACTGCTCCATCAAAACGAGGGTTCAACTGTGTGACTTGAATGCAATCATCACTCAGAAGTTTCTGAGAATGCTTCTCTTTAGTTTTTACGTGAACATATACCCGTTTCGAACGAAGGCCAGCCAGTGGTCCAAATATCCACTTGCAGATTCTACAGAAAGAGTGTTTCGAACCTGAACTCTCAAAGGCAGGTTCATCTCTGCGAGTTAAATGCATTCATCATGAAGAACTTTCTCAGAGTGTTTGTGTTTAGTTATGGGAAATTATTCCCGTTTCCAACGAAATCCTCAGAGCAGCTCCAAATATCCACCTGCAGATTCTACCAAAAGTGTATTTGGAAACTGCTCCATCAAAAGGCATGTTCAGCTCTGTGAGTGAAACTCCATCATCACAAAGAATATTCTGAGAATGCTTCCGTTTGCCTTTTATATGAAGTTCCTTCCTATACTACCGTAGGCCTCAAAGCAGTCCAAATCTCCATTTGCAGATTCTACAAAAAGAGTGATTCCAATCTGCTCTATCAATAGGATTGTTCAACTCCATGAGTTGAATGCCATCCTCACAAAGTCGTTTCTGAGAATGCTTCTATCTAGTTTTTATGTGAAGATATTTCCTTTTCCACCACAGGCCTCAAAGCCCTCCAAACGTCCACTTGCAGATTCTCGAAAAAGAGTGTTTCATAGCTGCTCTTTCAAAAGGAAAGTTCAACTCTGGGAGTTGAATACAAACATCACAAAGTAGTTTCCGAGAATGCTTCAGTTTAGTTTTTATGTGAAGATGATCCCGTTTCCAGTGAAATCTTCAAAGAGGTCCACATATCCCCTTGAAGATTCCAAAGAAAGAGGGTTTCAAAACTGCTCCATCAGAAGGATTGTTCAACTCTGTGAGTTGAATGCAGTCATCGCAGAAAACTTTCTGAGAATGCTTCTGTCTAGGTTTGATGTGAAGATATAGATGTTTCAAACGAAGGCTACAAAGTGGTCAAAATATACACTTGCAGATTCTACTACAAGGGTGTTGCAAACCTGAACTATCAAAGGAAGGTTCAACTCTGTGAGTTGAATACAAACATCACAAAGAATGTTCTGAGTTTGCTTCCGTTCAGTTATGGGAAGTTGATCCCGTTTCCAACGAAATCCTCAGAGAGGTCCAAATATCCCCTTGCAGATTCTACAAAACGTGTGTTTGGAAACTGCTCCATCATAACGAATGTTCAGCTCCCTGAGTTAAACTCCATCGTCACAAAGAATTTTCTGAGAGTGCTACCGTCTGGTTTTTATATGAAGTTCTTTCCTTCACTACCACAGGCCTCAATGCGGTCCAAATCTCCACTTGCAGATTCTACAAAAAGAGTGTTTGCAAACTGCTCTATCAAAAGGAATGTTCAACTCTGGGAGTTGAATGCAATCATCACAGAGCAGTTTCTGAGAATGCTTCTATGTCGTTTTTAGGAGAAGATATTTCCTTTTCCAACACAGTCCTCCAAGCCCGCTAAATAGCCACTTGCACATTGTAGAAAAAGTGTGTCAAAGCTGCGCTATCAAAGGGAAAGTTCAACTCTGTGAGGTGAATGCAAAACATCCCAAAGAAGTTTCTGAGAATGCTTCCGTTTAGCTTTTAGGTGAAGATTATCCCGTTTCCAACGAAACCTTCAAAGAGGTCCAAATATCCCCTTGCGGATCCCACAGAAAGAGTGTTTCGAAACTGCTGTTTCAAAAGGAATCTTCAACTCTGTGAGTTGAATGCAATCATCACAAAGAAGTTTCTGACAATGCTTCTCTCTCGTCTTTCTGTGAAGTTAAAGGAGAAGGCTTTCAGGCCTTTTCCACCACAGGCCTGAAAGCGCTCTAAATGTCCACTTGCAGATTCTGCCAAAAGAATATTTCAAAACTGCTCTATGAAAAGCAATGTTAAACTCTGTGGCTCGAACACAAACATCACAAAGCAGTTTCTGAGAATGCTTCAGTTTAGTTTTTCTGTGGAAATATTCCCGTTTCCAAAGAAATCTTCAAAGAGGTCCACGTATCCACTTACAGATTCTACAAAAAGACAGTTTCAAAACTGCTCCATCAAAAGGAGGGTTCAACTGTGTGACTTGAATGCAATCATCACTCAGAAGTTTCTGAGAATGCTTCTCTTTAGTTTTTACGTGAACATATACCCGTTTCGAACGAAGGCCAGCCAGTGGTCCAAATATCCACTTGCAGATTCTACAGAAAGAGTGTTTCGAACCTGAACTCTCAAAGGCAGGTTCATCTCTGCGAGTTAAATGCATTCATCATGAAGAACTTTCTCAGAGTGTTTGTGTTTAGTTATGGGAAATTATTCCCGTTTCCAACGAAAGCCTCAGAGAGCTCCAAATATCCACCTGCAGATTCTACCAAAAGTGTATTTGGAAACTGCTCCATCAAAAGGCATGTTCAGCTCTGTGAGTGAAACTCCATCATCACAAAGAATATTCTGAGAATGCTTCCGTTTGCCTTTTATATGAACTTCCTTCCTGTACTACCGTAGGCCTCAAAGCAGTCCAAATCTCCATTTGCAGATTCTACAAAAAGAGTGATTCCAATCTGCTCTATCAATAGGATTGTTCAACTCCATGAGTTGAATGCCATCCTCACAAAGTAGTTTCTGAGAATGCTTCTATATAGTTTTTATGTGAAGATATTTCCTTTTCCACCACAGGCCTCAAAGCCCTCCAAACGTCCACTTGCAGATTCTCGAAAAAGAGTGTTTCATAGCTGCTCTTTCAAAAGGAAAGTTCAACTCTGGGAGTTGAATACAAACATCACAAAGTAGTTTCCGAGAATGCTTCTGTTTAGTTTTTATGTGAAGATGATGCCGTTTCCAGTGAAATCTTCAAAGAGGTCCACATATCCCCTTGCAGATTCCAAAGAAAGAGGGTTTCAAAACTGCTCCATCAGAAGGATTGTTCAACTCTGTGAGTTGAATGCAGTCATCGCAGAAAACTTTCTGAGAATGCTTCTGTCTAGGTTTGATGTGAAGATATAGACGTTTCAAACGAAGGCTACAAAGTGGTCAAAATATACACTTGCAGATTCTACTACAAGGGTGTTGCAAACCTGAACTATCCAAAGGAAGGTTCAACTCTGTGAGTTGAATACAAACATCACAAAGAATGTTCTGAGTTTGCTTCCGTTCAGTTATGGGAAGTTGATCCCGTTTCCAACGAAATCCTCAGAGAGGTCCAAATATCCCTTTGCAGATTCTACAAAACGTGTGTTTGGAAACTGCTCCATCATAACGAATGTTCAGCTCTCTGAGTTAAACTCCATCGTCACAAAGAATTTTCTGAGAGTGCTACCGTCTACTTTTTATATGAAGTTCTTTCCTTTACTACCACAGGCCTCAAAGCGGTCCAAATCTCCACTTGCAGATTCTACAAAAAGAGTGTTTGCAAATTGCTCTATCAAAAGGAATGTTCAACTCTGGGAGTTGAATGCAATCATCACAGAGCAGTTTCTGAGAATGCTTCTATGTCGTTTTTAGGAGAAGATATTTCCTTTTCCAACACAGTCCTCCAAGCCCGCTAAATATCCACTTGCACATTGTAGAAAAAGTGTGTCGAAGCTGCGCTATCAAAGGGAAAGTTCAACTCTGTGAGGTGAATGCAAACATCCCAAAGAAGTTTCTGAGAATGCTTCCGTTTAGCTTTAAGTGAAGATTATCCCGTTTCCAACGAAATCTTCAAAGAGGTCCAAATATCCCCTTGCGGATCCCACAGAAAGAGTGTTTCGAAACTGCTGTTTCAAAAGGAATCTTCAACTCTGTGAGTTGAATGCAATCATCACAAAGAAGTTTCTGACAATTCTTCTCTCTCGTCTTTTTGTGAAGATAAAGGAAAAGGCTTTCAGGCCTTTTCCACCACAGGCCTGAAAGCGCTCCAAATGTCCACTTGCAGATTCTGCCAAAAGAATATTTCAAAACTGCTCTATGAAAAGCAATGTTAAACTCTGCGGCTCGAACACAAACATCACAAAGCAGTTTCTGAGAATGCTTCAGTTTAGTTTTTCTGTGGAAATATTCCCGTTTCCAAAGAAATCTTCAAAGAGGTCCACGCATCCACTTACAGATTCTACAAAAAGACAGTTTCAAAACTGCTCAATCAAAAGGAGGGTTCAACTGTGTGACTTGAATGCATTCATCACTCAGAAGTTTCTGAGAATGCTTCTCTTTAGTTTTTACGTGAACATATACCCGTTTCGAACGAAGGCCAGCCAGTGGTCCAAATATCCACTTGCAGATTCTACAGAAAGAGTGTTTCGAACCTGAACTCTCAAAGGCAGGTTCATCTCTGCGAGTTAAATGCATTCATCATGAAGAACTTTCTCAGCGTGTTTGTGTTTAGTTATGGGAAATTATTCCCGTTTCCAACGAAATCCTCAGAGAGCTCCAAATATCCACCTGCAGATTCTACCAAAAGTGTATTTGGAAACTGCTCCATCAAAAGGCATGTTCAGCTCTGTGAGTGAAACTCCATCATCACAAAGAATATTCTGAGAATGCTTCCGTTCGCCTTTTATATGAAGTTCCTTCCTATACTACCGTAGGCCTCAAAGCAGTCCAAATCTCCATTTGCAGATTCTACAAAAAGAGTGATTCCAATCTGCTCTATCAATAGGATTGTTCAACTCCATGAGTTGAATGCCATCCTCACAAAGTAGTTTCTGAGAATGCTTCTATCTAGTTTTTATGTGAAGATATTTCCTTTTCCACCACAGGCCTCAAAGCCCTCCAAACGTCCACTTGCAGATTCTCGAAAAAGAGTGTTTCATAGCTGCTCTTTCAAAAGGAAAGTTCAACTCTGGGAGTTGAATACAAACATCACAAAGTAGTTTCCGAGAATGCTTCTGTTTAGTTCTTATGTGAAGATGATCCCGTTTCCAGTGAAATCTTCAAAGAGGTCCACATATCCCCTTGCAGATTCCAAAGAAAGAGGGTTTCAAAACTGCTCCATCAAAAGGATTGTTCAACTCTGTGAGTTGAATGCAGTCATCGCAGAAAACTTTCTGAGAATGCTTCTGTCTAGGTTTGAGGTGAAGATATAGACGTTTCAAACGAAGGCTACAAAGTGGTCAAAATATACACTTGCAGATTCTACTACAAGGGTGTTGCAAACCTCAACTATCAAAGGAAGGATCAACTCTGTGAGTTGAATACAAACATCACAAAGAATGTACTGAGTTTGCTTCCGTTCAGTTATGGGAAGTTGATCCCGTTTCCAACGAAATCCTCAGAGAGGTCCAAATATCCCCTTGTAGATTCTACAAAACGTGTGTTTGGAAACTGCTCCATCATAACGAATGTTCAGCTCTCTGAGTTAAACTCCATCGTCACAAAGAATTTTCTGAGAGTGCTACCGTCTGGTTTTTATATGAAGTTCTTTCCTTCACTACCACAGGCCTCAAAGCGGTCCAAATCTCCACTTGCAGATTCTACAAAAAGAGTGTTTGCAAACTGCTCTATCAAAAGGAATGTTCAACTCTGGGAGTTGAATGCAATCATCACAGAGCAGTTTCTGAGAATGCTTCTATGTCGTTTTTAGGAGAAGATATTTCCTTTTCCAACACAGTCCTCCAAGCCCGCTAAATAGCCACTTGCACATTGTAGAAAAAGTGTGTCAAAGCTGCGCTATCAAAGGGAAAGTTCAACTCTGTGAGGTGAATGCAAACATCCCAAAGAAGTTTCTGAGAATGCTTCCGTTTAGCTTTTAGGTGAAGATTATCCCGTTTCCAACGAAACCTTCAAAGAGGTCCAAATATCCCCTTGCGGATCCCACAGAAAGAGTGTTTCGAAACTGTTGTTTCAAAAGGAATCTTCAACTCTGTGAGTTGAATGCAATCATCACAAAGAAGTTTCTGACAATGCTTCTCTCTCGTCTTTCTGTGAAGATAAAGGAAAAGGCTTTCAGGCCTTTGCCACCACAGGCCTGAAAGCGCTCCAAATGTCCACTTGCAGATTCTGCCAAAAGAATATTTCAAAACTGCTCTATGAAAAGCAATGTTAAACTCTGTGGCTGGAACACAAACATCACAAAGCGGTTTCTGAGAATGTTTCAGTTTAGTTTTTCTGTGGAAATATTCCCGTTTCCAAAGAAATCTTCAAAGAGGTCCACGTATCCACTTACAGATTCTACAAAAAGACAGTTTCAAAACTGCTCCATCAAAAGGAGGGTTCAACTGTGTGACTTGAATGCAATCATCACTCAGAAGTTTCTGAGAATGCTTCTCTTTAGTTTTTACGTGAACATATACCCGTTTCGAACGAAGGCCACCCAGTGGTCCAAATATCCACTTGCAGATTCTACAGAAAGAGTGTTTCGAACCTGAACTCTCAAAGGCAGGTTCATCTCTGCGAGTTAAAAGCATTCATCATGAAGAACTTTCTCAGAGTGTTTGTGTTTAGTTATGGGAAATTATTCCCGTTTCCAACGAAATCCTCAGAGAGCTCCAAATATCCACCTGCAGATTCTACCAAAAGTGTATTTGGAAACTGCTCCATCAAAAGGCATGTTCAGCTCTGTGAGTGAAACTCCATCATCACAAAGAATATTCTGAGAATGCTTCCGTTTGCCTTTTATATGAAGTTCCTTCCTGTACTACCGTAGGCCTCAAAGCAGTCCAAATCTCCATTTGCAGATTCTATAAAAAGAGTGATTCCAATCTGCTCTATCAATAGGATTGTTCAACTCCATGAGTTGAATGCCATCCTCACAAAGTAGTTTCTGAGAATGCTTCTATCTGGTTTTTGTGTGAAGATATTTCCTTTTCCACCACAGGCCTCAAAGCCCTCCAAACGTCCACTTGCAGATTCTCGAAAAAGAGTGTTTCATAGCTGCTCTTTCAAAAGGAAAGTTCAACTCTGGGAGTTGAATGCAAACATCACAAAATAGTTTCCGAGAATGCTTCTGTTTAGTTTTTATGTGAAGATGATCCCGTTTCCAGTGAAATCTTCAAAGAGGTCCACATATCCCCTTGCAGATTCCAAAGAAAGAGGGTTTCAAAACTGCTCCATCAGAAGGATTGTTCAACTCTGTGAGTTGAATGCAGTCATCGCAGAAAACTTTCTGAGAATGCTTCTGTCTAGGTTTGATGTGAAGATATAGACGTTTCAAATGAAGGCTACAAAGTGGTCAAAATATACACTTGCAGATTCTACTACAAGGGTGTTGCAAACCTGAACTATCAAAGGAAGGTTCAACTCTGTGAGTTGAATACAAACATCACAAAGAATGTTCTGAGTTTGCTTCCGTTCAGTTATGGGAAGTTGATCCCGTTTCCAACGAAATCCTCAGAGAGGTCCAAATATCCCCTTGCAGATTCTACAAAACGTGTGTTTGGAAACTGCTCCATCATAACGAATGTCCAGCTCCCTGAGTTAAACTCCATCGTCACAAAGAATTTTCTGAGAGTGCTACCGTCTGGTTTTTATATGAAGTTCTTTCCTTCACTACCACAGGCCTCAATGCGGTCCAAATCTCCACTTGCAGATTCTACAAAAAGAGTGTTTGCAAACTGCTCTATCAAAAGGAATGTTCAACTCTGGGAGTTGAATGCAATCATCACAGAGCAGTTTCTGAGAATGCTTCTATGTCGTTTTTAGGAGAAGATATTTCCTTTTCCAACACAGTCCTCCAAGCCCGCTAAATAGCCACTTGCACATTGTAGAAAAAGTGTGTCAAAGCTGCGCTATCAAAGGGAAAGTTCAACTCTGTGAGGTGAATGCAAACATCCCAAAGAAGTTTCTGAGAATGCTTCCGTTTAGCTTTTAGGTGAAGATTATCCCGTTTCCAACGAAACCTTCAAAGAGGTCCAAATATCCCCTTGCGGATCCCACAGAAAGAGTGTTTCGAAACTGCTGTTTCAAAAGGAATCTTCAACTCTGTGAGTTGAATGCAATCATCACAAAGAAGTTTCTGACAATGCTTCTCTCTCGTCTTTCTGTGAAGATAAAGGAAAAGGCTTTCAGGCCTTTGCCACCACAGGCCTGAAAGCGCTCCAAATGTCCACTTGCAGATTCTGCCAAAAGAATATTTCAAAACTGCTCTATGAAAAGCAATGTTAAACTCTGTGGCTCGAACACAAACATCACAAAGCGGTTTCTGAGAATGCTTCAGTTTAGTTTTTCTGTGGAAATATTCCCGTTTCCAAAGAAATCTTCAAAGAGGTCCACGTATCCACTTACAGATTCTACAAAAGGACAGTTTCAAAACTGCTCCATCAAAAGGAGGGTTCAACTGTGTGACTTGAATGCAATCATCACTCAGAAGTTTCTGAGAATGCTTCTCTTTAGTTTTTACGTGAACATATACCCGTTTCGAATGAAGGCCAGCCAGTGGTCCAAATATCCACTTGCAGATTCTACAGAAAGAGTGTTTCGAACCTGAACTCTCAAAGGCAGGTTCATCTCTGCGAGTTAAATGCATTCATCATGAAGAACTTTCTCAGCGTGTTTGTGTTTAGTTATGGGAAATTATTCCCGTTTCCAACGAAATCCTCAGAGAGGTCCAAATATCCACCTGCAGATTCTACCAAAAGTGTATTTGGAAACTGCTCCATCAAAAGGCATGTTCAGCTCTGTGAGTGAAACTCCATCATCACAAAGAATATTCTGAGAATGCTTCCGTTTGCCTTTTATATGAAGTTCCTTCCTATACTACCGTAGGCCTCAAAGCAGTCCAAATCTCCATTTGCAGATTCTACAAAAAGAGTGATTCCAATCTGCTCTATCAATAGGATTGTTCAACTCCATGAGTTGAATGCCTTCCTCACAAAGTCGTTTCTGAGAATGCTTCTATCTAGTTTTTATGTGAAGATATTTCCTTTTCCACCACAGGCCTCAAAGCCCTCCAAACATCCACTTGCAGATTCTCGAAAAAGAGTGTTTCATAGCTGCTCTTTCAAAAGGAAAGTTCAACTCTGGGAGTTGAATACAAACATCACAAAGTAGTTTCCGAGAATGCTTCTGTTTAGTTCTTATGTGAAGATGATCCCGTTTCCAGTGAAATCTTCAAAGAGGTCCACATATGCCCTTGCAGATTCCAAAGAAAGTGGGTTTCAAAACTGCTCCATCAAAAGGATTGCTCAACTCTGTGAGTAGAATGCAGTCATCGCAGAAAACTTTCTGAGAATGCTTCTGTCTAGGTTTGATGTGAAGATATAGACGTTTCAAACGAAGGCTACAAAGTGGTCAAAATATACACTTGCAGATTCTACTACAAGGGTGTTGCAAACCTGAACTATCAAAGGAAGGTTCAACTCTGTGAGTTGAATACAAACATCACAAAGAATGTTCTGAGTTTGCTTCCGTTCAGTTATGGGAAGTTGATCCCGTTTCCAACGAAATCCTCAGAGAGGTCCAAATATCCCCTCGCAGATTCTACAAAACGTGTGTTTGGAAACTGCTCCATCATAAGGAATGTTCAGCTCCCTGAGTTAAACTCCATCGTCACAAAGAATTTTCTGAGAGTGCTACCGTCTGGTTTTTATATGAAGTTCTTTCCTTCACTACCACAGGCCTCAAAGCGGTCCAAATCTCCACTTGCAGATTCTACAAAAAGAGTGTTTGCAAACTGCTCTATCAAAAGGAATGTTCAACTCTGGGAGTTGAATGCAATCATCACAGAGCAGTTTCTGAGAATGCTTCTATGTCGTTTTTAGGAGAAGATATTTCCTTTTCCAACACAGTCCTCCAAGCCCGCTAAATAGCCACTTGCACATTGTAGAAAAAGTGTGTCAAAGCTGCGCTATCAAAGGGAAAGTTCAACTCTGTGAGGTGAATGCAAACATCCCAAAGAAGTTTCTGAGAATGCTTCCGTTTAGCTTTTAGGTGAAGATTATCCCGTTTCCAACGAAACCTTCAAAGAGGTCCAAATATCCCCTTGCGGATCCCACAGAAAGAGTGTTTCGAAACTGCTGTTTCAAAAGGAATCTTCAACTCTGTGAGTTGAATGCAATCATCACAAAGAAGTTTCTGACAATGCTTCTCTCTCGTCTTTCTGTGAAGATAAAGGAAAAGGCTTTCAGGCCTTTTCCACCACAGGCCTGAAAGCGCTCCAAATGTCCACTTGCAGATTCTGCCAAAAGAATATTTCAAAACTGCTCTATGAAAAGCAATGTTAAACTCTGTGGCTCGAACACAAACATCACAAAGCGGTTTCTGAGAATGCTTCAGTTTAGTTTTTCTGTGGAAATATTCCCGTTTCCAAAGAAATCTTCAAAGAGGTCCACGTATCCACTTACAGATTCTACAAAAAGACAGTTTCAAAACTGCTCCATCAAAAGGAGGGTTCAACTGTGTGACTTGAATGCAATCATCACTCAGAAGTTTCTGAGAATGCTTCTCTTTAGTTTTTACGTGAACATATACCCGTTTCGAACGAAGGCCACCCAGTGGTCCAAATATCCACTTGCAGATTCTACAGAAAGAGTGTTTCGAACCTGAACTCTCAAAGGCAGGTTCATCACTGCGAGTTAAATGCATTCATCATGAAGAAATTTCTCAGCGTGTTTGTGTTTAGTTATGGGAAATTATTCCCGTTTCCAACGAAATCCTCAAAGAGCTCCAAATATCCACCTGCAGATTCTACCAAAAGTGTATTTGGAAACTGCTCCATCAAAAGGCATGTTCAGCTCTGTGAGTGAAACTCCATCATCACAAAGAATATTCTGAGAATGCTTCCGTTTGCCTGTTATATGAAGTTCCTTCCTATACGACCGTAGGCCTCAAAGCAGTCCAAATCTCCATTTGCAGATTCTACAAAAAGAGTGATTCCAATCTGCTCTATCAATAGGATTGTTCAACTCCATGAGTTGAATGCCATCTTCCAAAGTAGTTTCTGAGAATGCTTCTATCTAGTTTTTATGTGAAGATATTTCCTTTTCCACCACAGGCCTCAAAGCCCTCCAAACGTCCACTTGCAGATTCTCGAAAAAGAGTGTTTCATAGCTGCTCTTTCAAAAGGAAAGTTCAACTCTGGCAGTTGAATACAAACATCACAAAGTAGTTTCCGAGAATGCTTCTGTTTAGTTCTTATGTGAAGATGATCCCGTTTCCAGTGAAATCTTCAAAGAGGTCCAGATATCCCCTTGCAGATTCCAAAGAAAGAGGGTTTCAAAACTGCTCCATCAAAAGGATTGTTCAACTCTGTGAGTTGAATGCAGTCATCGCAGAAAACTTTCTGAGAATGCTTCTGTCTAGGTTTGATGTGAAGATATAGACGTTTCAAACGAAGGCTACAAAGTGGTCAAAATATACACTTGCAGATTCTACTACAAGGGTGTTGCAAACCTGAACTATCAAAGGAAGGTTCAACTCTGTGAGTTGAATACAAACATCACAAAGAATGTTCTGAGTTTGCTTCCGTTCAGTTATGGGAAGTTGATCCCGTTTCCAACGAAATCCTCAGAGAGGTCTAAATATCCCCTTGCAGATTCTACAAAACGTGTGTTTGGAAACTGCTCCATCATAACGAATGTTCAGCTCCCTGAGTTAAACTCCATCGTCACAAAGAATTTTCTGAGAGTGCTACCGTCTGGTTTTTATATGAAGTTCTTTCCTTCACTACCACAGGCCTCAAAGCGGTCCAAATCTCCACTTGCAGATTCTACAAAAAGAGTGTTTGCAAACTGCTCTATCAAAAGGAATGTTCAACTCTGGGAGTTGAATGCAATCATCACAGAGCAGTTTCTGAGAATGCTTCTATGTCGTTTTTAGGAGAAGATATTTCCTTTTCCAACACAGTCCTCCAAGCCCGCTAAATAGCCACTTGCACATTGTAGAAAAAGTGTGTCAAAGCTGCGCTATCAAAGGGAAAGTTCAACTCTGTGAGGTGAATGCAAACATCCCAAAGAAGTTTCTGAGAATGCTTCCGTTTAGCTTTTAGGTGAAGATTATCCCGTTTCCAACGAAACCTTCAAAGAGGTCCAAATATCCCCTTGCGGATCCCACAGAAAGAGTGTTTCGAAACTGCTGTTTCAAAAGGAATCTTCAACTCTGTGAGTTGAATGCAATCATCACAAAGAAGTTTCTGACAATGCTTCTCTCTCGTCTTTCTGTGAAGATAAAGGAAAAGGCTTTCAGGCCTTTTCCACCACAGGCCTGAAAGCGCTCCAAATGTCCACTTGCAGATTCTGCCAAAAGAATATTTCAAAACTGCTCTATGAAAAGCAATGTTAAACTCTGTGGCTGGAACACAAACATCACAAAGCGGTTTCTGAGAATGTTTCAGTTTAGTTTTTCTGTGGAAATATTCCCGTTTCCAAAGAAATCTTCAAAGAGGTCCACGTATCCACTTACAGATTCTACAAAAAGACAGTTTCAAAACTGCTCAATCAAAAGGAGGGTTCAACTGTGTGACTTGAATGCAATCATCACTCAGAAGTTTCTGAGAATGCTTCTCTTTAGTTTTTACGTGAACATATACCCGTTTCGAACGAAGGCCACCCAGTGGTCCAAATATCCACTTGCAGATTATACAGAAAGAGTGTTTCGAACCTGAACTCTCAAAGGCAGGTTCATCTCTGCGAGTTAAATGCATTCATCATGAAGAACTTTCTCAGAGTGTTTGTGTTTAGTTATGGGAAATTATTCCCGTTTCCAACGAAATCCTCAGAGAGCTCCAAATATCCACCTGCAGATTCTACCAAAAGTGTATTTGGAAACTGCTCCATCAAAAGGCATGTTCAGCTCTGTGAGTGAAACTCCATCATCACAAAGAATATTCTGAGAATGCTTCCGTTTGCCTTTTATCTGAAGTTCCTTCCTGTACTACCGTAGGCCTCAAAGCAGTCCAAATCTCCATTTGCAGATTCTATAAAAAGAGTGATTCCAATCTGCTCTATCAATAGGATTGTTCAACTCCATGAGTTGAATGCCATCCTCACAAAGTAGTTTCTGAGAATGCTTCTATCTGGTTTTTGTGTGAAGATATTTCCTTTTCCACCACAGGCCTCAAAGCCCTCCAAACGTCCACTTGCAGATTCTCGAAAAAGAGTGTTTCATAGCTGCTCTTTCAAAAGGAAAGTTCAACTCTGGGAGTTGAATGCAAACATCACAAAATAGTTTCCGAGAATGCTTCTGTTTAGTTTTTATGTGAAGATGATCCCGTTTCCAGTGAAATCTTCAAAGAGGTCCACATATCCCCTTGCAGATTCCAAAGAAAGAGGGTTTCAAAACTGCTCCATCAGAAGGATTGTTCAACTCTGTGAGTTGAATGCAGTCATCGCAGAAAACTTTCTGAGAATGCTTCTGTCTAGGTTTGATGTGAAGATATAGACGTTTCAAACGAAGGCTACAAAGTGGTCAAAATATACACTTGCAGATTCTACTACAAGGGTGTTGCAAACCTGAACTATCAAAGGAAGGTTCAACTCTGTGAATTGAATACAAACATCACAAAGAATGTTCTGAGTTTGCTTCCGTTCAGTTATGGGAAGTTGATCCCGTTTCCAACGAAATCCTCAGAGAGGTCCAAATATCCCCTCGCAGATTCTACAAAACGTGTGTTTGGAAACTGCTCCATCATAACGAATGTTCAGCTCCCTGAGTTAAACTCCATCGTCACAAAGAATTTTCTGAGAGTGCTACCGTCTGGTTTTTATATGAAGTTCTTTCCTTCACTACCACAGGCCTCAAAGCGGTCCAAATCTCCACTTGCAGATTCTACAAAAAGAGTGTTTGCAAACTGCTCTATCAAAAGGAATGTTCAACTCTGGGAGTTGAATGCAATCATCACAGAGCAGTTTCTGAGAATGCTTCTATGTCGTTTTTAGAAGATATTTCCTTTTCCAACACAGTCCTCCAAGCCCGCTAAATAGCCACTTGCACATTGTAGAAAAAGTGTGTCAAAGCTGCGCTATCAAAGGGAAAGTTCAACTCTGTGAGGTGAATGCAAACATCCCAAAGAAGTTTCTGAGAATGCTTCCGTTTAGCTTTTAGGTGAAGATTATCCCGTTTCCAACGAAACCTTCAAAGAGGTCCAAATATCCCCTTGCGGATCCCACAGAAAGAGTGTTTCAAAACTGCTGTTTCAAAAGGAATCTTCAACTCTGTGAGTTGAATGCAATCATCACAAAGAAGTTTCTGACAATGCTTCTCTCTCGTCTTTCTGTGAAGATAAAGGAAAAGGCTTTCAGGCCTTTTCCACCACAGGCCTGAAAGCGCTCCAAATGTCCACTTGCAGATTCTGCCAAAAGAATATTTCAAAACTGCTCTATGAAAAGCAATGTTAAACTCTGCGGCTCGAACACAAACATCACAAAGCGGTTTCTGAGAATGCTTCAGTTTAGTTTTTCTGTGGAAATATTCCCGTTTCCAAAGAAATCTTCAAAGAGGTCCACGTATCCACTTACAGATTCTACAAAAAGACAGTTTCAAAACTGCTCCATCAAAAGGAGGGTTCAACTGTGTGACTTGAATGCAATCATCACTCAGAAGTTTCTGAGAATGCTTCTCTTTAGTTTTTACGTGAACATATACCCGTTTCGAACGAAGGTCAGCCAGTGGTCCAAATATCCACTTGCAGATTCTACAGAAAGAGTGTTTCGAACCTGAACTCTCAAAGGCAGGTTCATCTCTGCGAGTTAAATGCATTCATCATGAAGAACTTTCTCAGCGTGTTTGTGTTTAGTTATGGGAAATTATTCCCGTTTCCAACGAAATCCTCAAAGAGCTCCAAATATCCACCTGCAGATTCTACCAAAAGTGTATTTGGAAACTGCTCCATCAAAAGGCATGTTCAGCTCTGTGAGTGAAACTCCATCATCACAAAGAATATTCTGAGAATGCTTCCGTTTGCCTTTTATATGAAGTTCCTTCCTGTACTACCGTAGGCCTCAAAGCAGTCCAAATCTCCATTTGCCGATTCTACAAAAAGAGTGATTCCAATGTGCTCTATCATTAGGATTGTTCAACTCCATGAGTTGAATGCCGTCCTCACAAAGTCGTTTCTGAGAATGCTTCTATCTAGTTTTTATGTGAAGATATTTCCTTTTCCACCACAGGCCTCAAAGCCCTCCAAACGTCCACTTGCAGATTCTCGAAAAAGATTGTTTCATAGCTGCTCTTTCAAAAGGAAAGTTCAACTCTGGGAGTTGAATACAAACATCACAAAGTCGTTTCCGAGAATGCTTCTTTTTAGTTCTTATGTGAAGATGATCCCGTTTCCAGTGAAATCTTCAACGAGGTCCACATATCCCCTTGCAGATTCCAAAGAAAGAGGGTTTCACAACTGCTCCATCAAAAGGATTGTTCAACTCTGTGAGTTGAATGCAGTCATCGCAGAAAACTTTCTGAGAATGCTTCTGTCTAGGTTTGATGTGAAGATATAGACGTTTCAAACGAAGGCTACAAAGTGGTCAAAATATACACTTGCAGATTCTACTACAAGGGTGTTGCAAACCTGAACTATCAAAGGAAGGTTCAACTCTGTGAGTTGAATACAAACATCACAAAGAATGTTCTGAGTTTGCTTCCGTTCAGTTATGGGAAGTTGATCCCGTTTCCAACGAAATCCTCAGAGAGGTCCAAATATCCCCTCGCAGATTCTACAAAACGTGTGTTTGGAAACTGCTCCATCATAAGGAATGTTCAGCTCCCTGAGTTAAACTCCATCGTCACAAAGAATTTTCTGAGAGTGCTACCGTCTGGTTTTTATATGAAGTTCTTTCCTTCCCTACCACAGGCCTCAAAGCGGTCCAAATCTCCACTTGCAGATTCTACAAAAAGAGTGTTTGCAAACTGCTCTATCAAAAGGAATGTTCAACTCTGGGAGTTGAATGCAATCATCACAGAGCAGTTTCTGAGAATGCTTCTATGTCGTTTTTAGGAGAAGATATTTCCTTTTCCAACACAGTCCTCCAAGCCCGCTAAATAGCCACTTGCACATTGTAGAAAAAGTGTGTCGAAGCTGCGCTATCAAAGGGAAAGTTCAACTCTGTGAGGTGAATGCAAACATCCCAAAGAAGTTTCTGAGAATGCTTCCGTTTAGCTTTTAGGTGAAGATTATCCCGTTTCCAACGAAACCTTCAAAGAGGTCCAAATATCCCCTTGCGGATCCCACAGAAAGAGTGTTTCGAAACTGCTGTTTCAAAAGGAATCTTCAACTCTGTGAGTTGAATGCAATCATCACAAAGAAGTTTCTGACAATGCTTCTCTCTCGTCTTTCTGTGAAGATAAAGGAAAAGGCTTTCAGGCCTTTTCCACCACAGGCCTGAAAGCGCTCCAAATGTCCACTTGCAGATTCTGCCAAAAGAATATTTCAAAACTGCTCTATGAAAAGCAATGTTAAACTCTGTGGCTCGAACACAAACATCACAAAGCGGTTTCTGAGAATGCTTCAGTTTAGTTTTTCTGTGGAAATATTCCCGTTTCCAAAGAAATCTTCAAAGAGGTCCACGTATCCACTTACAGATTCTACAAAAAGACAGTTTCAAAACTGCTCCATCAAAAGGAGTGTTCAACCGTGTGACTTGAATGCAATCATCACTCAGAAGTATCTGAGAATGCTTCTCTTTAGTTTTTACGTGAACATATACCCGTTTCGAACGAAGGCCACCCAGTGGTCCAAATATCCACTTGCAGATTCTAGAGAAAGAGTGTTTCGAACATGAACTCTCAAAGGCAGGATCATCTCTGAAAGTTAAATGTATTCGTCATGAAGAACTTTCTCAGCGTGTTTGTGTTTAGTTATGGGAAATTACTCCCGTTTCCAACGAAATCCTCTGAGAGGTCCAAATATCCACCTGCAGATTCTACCAAAAGTGTATTTGGAAACTGCTCCATCAACAGGCATGTTCAGCTCTGTGAGTGAAACTCCATCATCACAAAGAATATTCTGAGAATGCTTCCGTTTGCCTTTTATATGAAGTTCCTTCCTATACGACCGTAGGCCTCAAAGCAGTCGAAATCTCCATTTGCAGATTCTACAAAAAGAGTGATTCCAATCTGCTCTATCAATAGGATTGTTCAACTCCATGAGTTGAATGCCATCCTCACAAAGTCGTTTCTGAGAATGCTTCTATCTAGTTTTTATGTGAAGATATTTCCTTTTCCACCACAGGCCTCAAAGCCCTCCAAACGTCCACTTGCAGATTCTCGAAAAAGAGTGTTTCATAGCTGCTCTTTCAAAAGGAAAGTTCAACTCTGGGAGTTGAATACAAACATCACAAAGTAGTTTCCGAGAATGCTTCTGTTTAGTTTTATGTGAAGATGATCCCGTTTCCAGTGAAATCTTCAAAGAGGTCCACATATCCCCTTGCAGATTCCAAAGAAAGAGGGTTTCAAAACTGCTCCATCAGAAGGATTGTTCAACTCTGTGAGTTGAATGCAGTCATCGCAGAAAACTTTCTGAGAATGCTTCTGTCTAGGTTTGATGTGAAGATATAGACGTTTCAAACGAAGGCTACAAAGTGGTCAAAATATACACTTGCAGATTCTACTACAAGGGTGTTGCAAACCTGAACTATCAAAGGAAGGTTCAACTCTGTGAGTTGAATACAAACATCACAAAGAATGTTCTGAGTTTGCTTCCGTTCAGTTATGGGAAGTTGATCCCGTTTCCAACGAAATCCTCAGAGAGGTCCAAATATCCCCTCGCAGATTCTACAAAACGTGTGTTTGGAAACTGCTCCATCATAACGAATGTTCAGCTCCCTGAGTTAAACTCCATCGTCACAAAGAATTTTCTGAGAGTGCTACCGTCTACTTTTTATATGAAGTTCTTTGCTTTACTACCACAGGCCTCAAAGCGGTCCAAATCTCCACTTGCAGATTCTACAAAAAGAGTGTTTGCAAACTGCTCTATCAAAAGGAATGTTCAACTCTGGGAGTTGAATGCAATCATCACAGAGCAGTTTCTGAGAATGCTTCTATGTCGTTTTTAGGAGAAGATATTTCCTTTTCCAACACAGTCCTCCAAGCCCGCTAAATAGCCACTTGCACATTGTAGAAAAAGTGTGTCAAAGCTGCGCTATCAAAGGGAAAGTTCAACTCTGAGAGGTGAATGCAAACATCCCAAAGAAGTTTCTGAGAGTGCTTCCGTTTAGCTTTTAGGTGAAGATTATCCCGTTTGCAACGAAATCTTCAAAGAGGTCCAAATATCCCCTTGCGGATCCCACAGAAAGAGTGTTTCGAAACTGCTGTTTCAAAAGGAATCTTCAACTCTGTGAGTTGAATGCAATCATCACAAAGAAGTTTCTGACAATGCTTCTCTCTCGTCTTTCTGTGAAGATAAAGGAAAAGGCTTTCAGGCCTTTTCCACCACAGGCCTGAAAGCGCTCCAAATGTCCACTTGTAGATTCTGCCAAAAGAATATTTCAAAACTGCTCTATGAAAAGCAATGTTAAACTCTGTGGCTCGAACACAAACATCACAAAGCAGTTTCTGAGAATGCTTCAGTTTAGTTTTTCTGTGGAAATATTCCCGTTTCCAAAGAAATCTTCAAAGAGGTCCACGTATCCACTTACAGATTCTACAAAAAGACAGTTTCAAAACTGCTCCATCAAAAGGAGGGTTCAACTGTGTGACTTGAATGCAATCATCACTCAGAAGTTTCTGAGAATGCTTCTCTTTAGTTTTTACGTGAACATATACCCGTTTTGAACGAAGGCCACCCAGTGGTCCAAATATCCACTTGCAGATTCTACAGAAAGAGTGTTTCGAACCTGAACTCTCAAAGGCAGGTTCATCTCTGCGAGTTAAATGCATTCATCATGAAGAACTTTCTCAGAGTGTTTGTGTTTAGTTATGGGAAATTATTCCCGTTTCCAACGAAATCCTCAGAGAGCTCCAAATATCCACCTGCAGATTCTACCAAAAGTGTATTTGGAAACTGCTCCATCAAAAGGCATGTTCAGCTCTGTGAGTGAAACTCCATCATCACAAAGAATATTCTGAGAATGCTTCCGTTTGCCTTTTATATGAAGTTCCTTCCTATACGACCGTAGGCCTCAAAGCAGTCCAAATCTCCATTTGCAGATTCTACAAAAAGAGTGATTCCAATCTGCTCTATCAATAGGATTGTTCAACTCCATGAGTTGAAAGCCATCCTCACGAAGTAGTTTCTGAGAATGCTTCTATCTAGTTTTTATGTGAAGATATTTCCTTTTCCACCACAGGCCTCAAAGCCCTCCAAACGTCCACTTGCAGATTCTCGAAAAAGAGTGTTTCATAGCTGCTCTTTCAAAAGGAAAGTTCAACTCTGGGAGTTGAATACAAACATCACAAAGTAGTTTCCGAGAATGCTTCTGTTTAGTTTTTATGTGAAGATGATCCCGTTTCCAGTGAAATCTTCAAAGAGGTCCACATATCCCCTTGCAGATTCCAAAGAAAGAGGGTATCAAAACTGCTCCATCAGAAGGATTGTTCAACTCTGTGAGTTGAATGCAGTCATCGCAGAAAACTTTCTGAGAATGCTTCTGTCTAGGTTTGATGTGAAGATATAGACGTTTCAAACGAAGGCTACAAAGTGGTCAAAATATACACTTGCAGATTCTACTACAAGGGTGTTGCAAACCTGAACTATCAAAGGAAGGTTCAACTCTGTGAGTTGAATACAAACATCACAAAGAATGTTCTGAGTTTGCTTCCGTTCAGTTATGGGAAGTTGATCCCGTTTCCAGCGAAATCCTCAGAGAGGTCCAAATATCCCCTTGCAGATTCTACAAAACGTGTGTTTGGAAACTGCTCCATCATAACGAATGTTCAGCTCCCTGAGTTAAACTCCATCGTCACAAAGAATTTTCTGAGAGTGCTACCGTCTGGTTTTTATATGAAGTTCTTTCCTTTACTACCATAGGCCTCAAAGCGGTCCAAATCTCCACTTGCAGATTCTACAAAAAGAGTGTTTGCAAACTGCTCTATCAAAAGGAATGTTCAACCCTGGGAGTTGAATGCAATCATCACAGAGCAGTTTCTGAGAATGCTTCTATGTCGTTTTTAGGAGAAGATATTTCCTTTTCCAACACAGTCCTCCAAGCCCGCTAAATAGCCACTTGCACATTGTAGAAAAAGTGTGTCAAAGCTGCGCTATCAAAGGGAAAGTTCAACTCTGTGAGGTGAATGCAAACATCCCAAAGAAGTTTCTGAGAATGCTTCCGTTTAGCTTTTAGGTGAAGATTATCCCGTTTCCAACGAAACCTTCAAAGAGGTCCAAATATCCCCTTGCGGATCCCACAGAAAGAGTGTTTCGAAACTGCTGTTTCAAAAGGAATCTTCAACTCTGTGAGTTGAATGCAATCATCACAAAGAAGTTTCTGACAATACTTCTCTCTCGTCTTTCTGTGAAGATAAAGGAAAAGGCTTTCAGGCCTTTTCCACCACAGGCCTGAAAGCGCTCCAAATGTCCACTTGCAGATTCTGCCAAAAGAATATTTCAAAACTGCTCTATGAAAAGCAATGTTAAACTCTGTGGCTCGAACACAAACATCACAAAGCAGTTTCTGAGAATGCTTCAGTTTAGTTTTTCTGTGGAAATATTCCCGTTTCCAAAGAAATCTTCAAAGAGGTCCACGCATCCACTTACAGATTCTACAAAAAGACAGTTTCAAAACTGCTCAATCAAAAGGAGGGTTCAACTGTGTGACTTGAATGCATTCATCACTCAGAAGTTTCTGAGAACGCTTCTCTTTAGTTTTTACGTGAACATATACCCGTTTCGAACGAAGGCCAGCCAGTGGTCCAAATATCCACTTGCAGATTCTACAGAAAGAGTGTTTTGAACCTGAACTCTCAAAGGCAGGTTCATCTCTGCGAGTTAAATGCATTCATCATGAAGAACTTTCTCAGCGTGTTTGTGTTTAGTTATGGGAAATTATTCCCGTTTCCAACGAAATCCTCAGAGAGCTCCAAATATCCACCTGCAGATTCTACCAAAAGTGTATTTGGAAACTGCTCCATCAAAAGGCATGTTCAGCTCTGTGAGTGAAACTCCATCATCACAAAGAATATTCTGAGAATGCTTCCGTTTGCCTTTTATCTGAAGTTCCTTCATACACGACCGTAGGCCTCAAAGCAGTCCAAATCTCCATTTGCAGATTCTACAAAAAGAGTGATTCCAATCTGCTCTATCAATAGGATTGTTCAACTCCATGAGTTGAATGCCATCCTCACAAAGTCGTTTCTGAGAATGCTTCTATCTGGTTTTTGTGTGAAGATATTTCCTTTTCCACCACAGGCCTCAAAGCCCTCCAAACGTCCACTTGCAGATTCTCGAAAAAGAGTGTTTTATAGCTGCTCTTTCAAAAGGAAAGTTCAACTCTGGGAGTTGAATACAAACATCACAAAATAGTTTCCGAGAATGCTTCTGTTTAGTTTTTATGTGAAGATGATCCCGTTTCCAGTGAAATCTTCAAAGAGGTCCACATATCCCCTTGCAGATTCCAAAGAAAGAGGGTTTCAAAACTGCTCCATCAGAAGGATTGTTCAACTCTGTGAGTTGAATGCAGTCATCGCAGAAAACTTTCTGAGAATGCTACCGTCTGGTTTTTATATGAAGTTCTTTCCTTCACTACCACAGGCCTCAAAGCGGTCCAAATCTCCACTTGCAGATTCTACAAAAAGAGTGTTTGCAAACTGCTCTATCAAAAGGAATGTTCAACTCTGGGAGTTGAATGCAATCATCACAGAGCAGTTTCTGAGAATGCTTCTATGTCGTTTTTAGAAGATATTTCCTTTTCCAACACAGTCCTCCAAGCCCGCTAAATAGCCACTTGCACATTGTAGAAAAAGTGTGTCAAAGCTGCGCTATCAAAGGGAAAGTTCAACTCTGTGAGGTGAATGCAAACATCCCAAAGAAGTTTCTGAGAATGCTTCCGTTTAGCTTTTAGGTGAAGATTATCCCGTTTCCAACGAAACCTTCAAAGAGGTCCAAATATCCCCTTGCGGATCCCACAGAAAGAGTGTTTCGAAACTGCTGTTTCAAAAGGAATCTTCAACTCTGTGAGTTGAATGCAATCATCACAAAGAAGTTTCTGACAATGCTTCTCTCTCGTCTTTCTGTGAAGGTAAAGGAAAAGGCTTTCAGGCCTTTTCCACCCACAGGCCTGAAAGCGCTCCAAATGTCCACTTGCAGATTCTGCCAAAAGAATATTTCAAAACTGCTCTATGAAAAGCAATGTTAAACTCTGTGGCTCGAACACAAACATCACAAAGCGGTTTCTGAGAATGCTTCAGTTTAGTTTTTCTGTGGAAATATTCCCGTTTCCAAAGAAATCTTCAAAGAGGTCCACGTATCCACTTACAGATTCTACAAAAAGACAGTTTCAAAACTGCTCCATCAAAAGGAGGGTTCAACTGTGTGACTTGAATGCAATCATCACTCAGAAGTTTCTGAGAATGCTTCTCTTTAGTTTTTACGTGAACATATACCCGTTTCGAACGAAGGCCACCCAGTGGTCCAAATATCCACTTGCAGATTATACAGAAAGAGTGTTTCGAACCTGAACTCTCAAAGGCAGGTTCATCTCTGCGAGTTAAATGCATTCATCATGAAGAACTTTCTCAGAGTGTTTGTGTTTAGTTATGGGAAATTATTCCCGTTTCCAAAGAAATCCTCAGAGAGCTCCAAATATCCACCTGCAGATTCTACCAAAAGTGTATTTGGAAACTGCTCCATCAAAAGGCATGTTCAGCTCTGTGAGTGAAACTCCATCATCACAAAGAATATTCTGAGAATGCTTCCGTTTGCCTTTTATATGAAGTTCCTTCCTGTACTACCGTAGGCCTCAAAGCAGTCCAAATCTCCATTTGCAGATTCTATAAAAAGAGTGATTCCAATCTGCTCTATCAATAGGATTGTTCAACTCCATGAGTTGAATGCCATCCTCACAAAGTAGTTTCTGAGAATGCTTCTATCTGGTTTTTGTGTGAAGATATTTCCTTTTCCACCACAGGCCTCAAAGCCCTCCAAACGTCCACTTGCAGATTCTCGAAAAAGAGTGTTTCATAGCTGCTCTTTCAAAAGGAAAGTTCAACTCTGGGAGTTGAATACAAACATCACAAAATAGTTTCCGAGAATGCTTCTGTTTAGTTTTTATGTGAAGATGATCCCGTTTCCAGTGAAATCTTCAAAGAGGTCCACATATCCCCTTGCAGATTCCAAAGAAAGAGGGTTTCAAAACTGCTCCATCAGAAGGATTGTTCAACTCTGTGAGTTGAATGCAGTCATCGCAGAAAACTTTCTGAGAATGCTTCTGTCTAGGTTTGATGTGAAGATATAGACGTTTCAAACGAAGGCTACAATGTGGTCAAAATATACACTTGCAGATTCTACTACAAGGGTGTTACAAACCTGAACTATCAAAGGATGGTTCAACTCTGTGAGTTGAATACAAACATCACAAAGAATGTTCTGAGTTTGCTTCCGTTCAGTTATGGGAAGTTGATCCCGTTTCCAACGAAATCCTCAGAGAGGTCCAAATATCCCCTCGCAGATTCTACAAAACGTGTTTTTGGAAACTGCTCCATCATAACGAATGTTCAGCTCCCTGAGTTAAACTCCATCGTCACAAAGAATTTTCTGAGAGTGCTACCGTCTGGTTTTTATATGAAGTTCTTTCCTTCACTACCACAGGCCTCAAAGCGGTCCAAATCTCCACTTGCAGATTCTACAAAAAGAGTGTTTGCAAACTGCTCTATCAAAAGGAATGTTCAACTCTGGGAGTTGAATGCAATCATCACAGAGCAGTTTCTGAGAATGCTTCTATGTCGTTTTTAGGAGAAGATATTTCCTTTTCCAACACAGTCCTCCAAGCCCGCTAAATAGCCACTTGCACATTGTAGAAAAAGTGTGTCAAAGCTGCGCTATCAAAGGGAAAGTTCAACTCTGTGAGGTGAATGCAAACATCCCAAAGAAGTTTCTGAGAATGCTTCCGTTTAGCTTTTAGGTGAAGATTATCCCGTTTCCAACGAAATCTTCAAAGAGGTCCAAATATCCCCTTGCGGATCCCACAGAAAGAGTGTTTCGAAACTGCTGTTTCAAAAGGAATCTTCAACTCTGTGAGTTGAATGCAATCATCACAAAGAAGTTTCTGACAATGCTTCTCTCTCGTCTTTCTGTGAAGATAAAGGAAAAGGCTTTCAGGCCTTTTCCACCACAGGCCTGAAAGCGCTCCAAATGTCCACTTGCAGATTCTGCGAAAAGAATATTTCAAAACTGCTTTGTGAAAAGCAATGTTAAACTCAGTGGCTCGAACACAAACATCACAACGCGGTTTCTGAGAATGCTTCAGTTTAGTTTTTCTGTGGAAATATTCCCGTTTCCAAAGAAATCTTCAAAGAGGTCCACGTATCCACTTACAGATTCTACAAAAAGACAGTTTCAAAACTGCTCCATCAAAAGGAGGGTTCAACTGTGTGACTTGAATGCAATCATCACTCAGAAGTTTCTGAGAATGCTTCTCTTTAGTTTTTACGTGAACATATACCCGTTTCGAACGAAGGCCACCCAGTGGTCCAAATATCCACTTGCAGATTCTACAGAAAGAGTGTTTCCAACCTGAACTCTCAAAGGCAGGTTCATCTCTGCGAGTTAAATGCATTCATCATGAAGAACTTTCTCAGAGTGTTTGTGTTTAGTTATGGGAAATTATTCCCGTTTCCAACGAAATCCTCAGAGAGCTCCAAATATCCACCTGCAGATTCTACCAAAAGTGTATTTGGAAACTGCTCCATCAAAAGGCATGTTCAGCTCTGTGAGTGAAACTCCATCATCACAAAGAATATTCTGAGAATGCTTCCGTTTGCCTTTTATCTGAAGTTCCTTCCTATACGACCGTAGGCCTCAAAGCAGTCCAAATCTCCATTTGCAGATTCTACAAAAAGAGTGATTCCAATCTGCTCTATCAATAGGATTGTTCAACTCCATGAGTTGAATGCCATCCTCACAAAGTCGTTTCTGAGAATGCTTCTATCTAGTTTTTATGTGAAGATATTTCCTTTTCCACCACAGGCCTCAAAGCCCTCCAAACGTCCACTTGCAG
Organism: Homo sapiens; assembly: GCF_000001405.40. NCBI lineage: Eukaryota > Metazoa > Chordata > Mammalia > Primates > Hominidae > Homo > Homo sapiens. Next base: position 62,039,851 of record NC_000023.11, on the reverse strand, counting down.
ATTCTCGAAAAGGAGTGTTTCATAGCTGCTCTTTCAAAAGGAAAGTTCAACTCTGGGAGTTGAATACAAACATCACAAAGTAGTTTCCGAGAATGCTTCTGTTTAGTTTTTATGTGAAGATGATCCCGTTTCCAGTGAAATCTTCAAAGAGGTCCACATATCCCCTTGCAGATTCCAAAGAAAGAGGGTTTCAAAACTGCTCCATCAGAAGGATTGTTCAACTCTGTGAGTTGAATGCAGTCATCGCAGAAAACTTTCTGAGAATGCTTCTGTCTAGGTTTGATGTGAAGATATAGACGTTTCAAACGAAGGCTACAAAGTGGTCAAAATATACACTTGCAGATTCTACTACAAGGGTGTTGCAAACCTGAACTATCAAAGGAAGGTTCAACTCTGTGAGTTGAATACAAACATCACAAAGAATGTTCTGAGTTTGCTTCCGTTCAGTTATGGGAAGTTGATCCCGTTTCCAACGAAATCCTCAGAGAGGTCCAAATATCCCCTTGCAGATTCTACAAAACGTGTGTTTGGAAACTGCTCCATCATAACGAATGTTCAGCTCCCTGAGTTAAACTCCATCGTCACAAAGAATTTTCTGAGAGTGCTACCGTCTAGTTTTTATATGAAGTTCTTTCCTTTACTACCACAGGCCTCAAAGCGGTCCAAATCTCCACTTGCAGATTCTACAAAAAGAGTGTTTGCAAACTGCTCTATCAAAAGGAATGTTCAACTCTGGGAGTTGAAAGCAATCATCACAGAGCAGTTTCTGAGAATGCTTCTATGTCGTTTTTAGGAGAAGATATTTCCGTTTCCAACACAGTCCTCCAAGCCCGCTAAATATCCACTTGCACATTGTAGAAAAAGTGTGTCGAAGCTGCGCTATCAAAGGGAAAGTTCAACTCTGTGAGGTGAATGCAAACATCCCAAAGAAGTTTCTGAGAATACTTCCGTTTAGCTTTTAGGTGAAGATTATCCCGTTTCCAACGAAACCTTCAAAGAGGTCCAAATATCCCCTTGCGGATCCCACAGAAAGAGTGTTTCGAAACTGCTGTTTCAAAAGGAATCTTCAACTCTGTGAGTTGAATGCAATCATCACAAAGAAGTTTCTGACAATGCTTCTCTCTCGTCTTTCTGTGAAGATAAAGGAAAAGGCTTTCAGGCCTTTTCCACCACAGGCCTGAAAGCGCTCCAAATGTCCACTTGCAGATTCTGCCAAAAGAATATTTCAAAACTGCTCTATGAAAAGCAATGTTAAACTCTGTGGCTCGAACACAAACATCACAAAGCAGTTTCTGAGAATGCTTCAGTTTAGTTTTTCTGTGGAAATATTCCCGTTTCCAAAGAAATCTTCAAAGAGGTCCACGTATCCACTTACAGATTCTACAAAAAGACAGTTTCAAAACTGCTCCATCAAAAGGAGGGTTCAACTGTGTGACTTGAATGCAATCATCACTCAGAAGTTTCTGAGAATGCTTCTCTTTAGTTTTTACGTGAACATATACCCGTTTCGAACGAAGGCCACCCAGTGGTCCAAATATCCACTTGCAGATTCTACAGAAAGAGTGTTTCGAACCTGAACTCTCAAAGGCAGGTTCATCTCTGCGAGTTAAATGCATTCATCATGAAGAACTTTCTCAGAGTGTTTGTGTTTAGTTATGGGAAATTATTCCCGTTTCCAACGAAATCCTCAGAGAGCTCCAAATATCCACCTGCAGATTCTACCAAAAGTGTATTTGGAAACTGCTCCATCAAAAGGCATGTTCAGCTCTGTCAGTGAAACTCCATCATCACAAAGAATATTCTGAGAATGCTTCCGTTTGCCTTTTATATGAAGTTCCTTCCTGTACTACCGTAGGCCTCAAAGCAGTCCAAATCTCCATTTGCAGATTCTACAAAAAGAGTGATTCCAATCTGCTCTATCAATAGGATTGTTCAACTCCATGAGTTGAATGCCATCCTCACAAAGTCGTTTCTGAGAATGCTTCTATCTGGTTTTTGTGTGAAGATATTTCCTTTTCCACCACAGGCCTCAAAGCCCTCCAAACGTCCACTTGCAGATTCTCGAAAAAGAGTGTTTCATAGCTGCTCTTTCAAAAGGAAAGTTCAACTCTGGGGAGTTGAATACAAACATCACAAAATAGTTTCCGAGAATGCTTCTGTTTAGTTTTTATGTGAAGATGATCCCGTTTCCAGTTAAATCTTCAAAGAGGTCCACATATCCCCTTGCAGATTCCAAAGAAAGAGGGTTTCAAAACTGCTCCATCAGAAGGATTGTTCAACTCTGTGAGTTGAATGCAGTCATCGCAGAAAACTTTCTGAGAATGCTTCTGTCTAGGTTTGATGTGAAGATATAGACGTTTCAAACGAAGGCTACAAAGTGGTCAAAATATACACTTGCAGATTCTACTACAAGGGTGTTGCAAACCTGAACTATCAAAGGAAGGTTCAACTCTGTGAGTTGAATACAAACATCACAAAGAATGTTCTGAGTTTGCTTCCGTTCAGTTATGGGAAGTTGATCCCGTTTCCAACGAAATCCTCAGAGAGGTCCAAATATCCCCTTGCAGATTCTACAAAACGTGTGTTTGGAAACTGCTCCATCATAACGAATGTTCAGCTCCCTGAGTTAAACTCCATCGTCACAAAGAATTTTCTGAGAGTGCTACCGTCTGGTTTTTATATGAAGTTCTTTCCTTCACTACCACAGGCCTCAAAGCGGTCCAAATCTCCACTTGCAGATTCTACAAAAAGAGTGTTTGCAAACTGCTCTATCAAAAGGAATGTTCAACTCTGGGAGTTGAATGCAATCATCACAGAGCAGTTTCTGAGAATGCTTCTATGTCGTTTTTAGGAGAAGATATTTCCTTTTCCAACACAATCCTCCAAGCCCGCTAAATAGCCACTTGCACATTGTAGAAAAAGTGTGTCAAAGCTGCGCTATCAAAGGGAAAGTTCAACTCTGTGAGGTGAATGCAAACATCCCAAAGAAGTTTCTGAGAATGCTTCCGTTTAGCTTTTAGGTGAAGATTATCCCGTTTCCAACGAAATCTTCAAAGAGGTCCAAATATCCCCTTGCGGATCCCACAGAAAGAGTGTTTCGAAACTGCTGTTTCAAAAGGAATCTTCAACTCTGTGAGTTGAATGCAATCATCACAAAGAAGTTTCTGACAATGCTTCTCTCTCGTCTTTCTGTGAAGATAAAGGAAAAGGCTTTCAGGCCTTTGCCACCACAGGCCTGAAAGCGCTCCAAATGTCCACTTGCAGATTCTGCGAAAAGAATATTTCAAAACTGCTCTATGAAAAGCAATGTTAAACTCTGTGGCTCGAACACAAACATCACAAAGCGGTTTCTGAGAATGCTTCAGTTTAGTTTTTCTGTGGAAATATTCCCGTTTCCAAAGAAATCTTCAAAGAGGTCCACGTATCCACTTACAGATTCTACAAAAAGACAGTTTCAAAACTGCTCCATCAATAGGAGGGTTCAACTGTGTGACTTGAATGCAATCATCACTCAGAAGTTTCTGAGAATGCTTCTCTTTAGTTTTTACGTGAACATATACCCGTTTCGAACGAAGGCCACCCAGTGGTCCAAATATCCACTTGCAGATTATACAGAAAGAGTGTTTCGAACCTGAACTCTCAAAGGCAGGTTCATCTCTGCGAGTTAAATGCATTCATCATGAAGAACTTTCTCAGAGTGTTTGTGTTTAGTTATGGGAAATTATTCCCGTTTCCAACGAAATCCTCAGAGAGCTCCAAATATCCACCTGCAGATTCTACCAAAAGTGTATTTGGAAACTGCTCCATCAAAAGGTATGTTCAGCTCTGTGAGTGAAACTCCATCATCACAAAGAATATTCTGAGAATGCTTCCGTTTGCCTTTTATATGAAGTTCCTTCCTATACGACCGTAGGCCTCAAAGCAGTCCAAATCTCCATTTGCAGATTCTACAAAAAGAGTGATTCCAATCTGCTCTATCAATAGGATTGTTCAACTCCATGAGTTGAATGCCATGCTCACAAAGTCGTTTCTGAGAATGCTTCTATCTAGTTTTTATGTGAAGATATTTCCTTTTCCACCACAGGCCTCAAAGCCCTCCAAACGTCCACTTGCAGATTCTCGAAAAAGAGTGTTTCATAGCTGCTCTTTCAAAAGGAAAGTTCAACTCTGGGAGTTGAATACAAACATCACAAAGTAGTTTCCGAGAATGCTTCTGTTTAGTTTTTATGTGAAGATGATCCCGTTTCCAGTGAAATCTTCAAAGAGGTCCACATATCCCCTTGCAGATTCCAAAGAAAGAGGGTTTCAAAACTGCTCCATCAGAAGGATTGTTCAACTCTGTGAGTGGAATGCAGTCATCGCAGAAAACTTTCTGAGAATGCTTCTTTCTAGGTTTGATGTGAAGATATAGACGTTTCAAACGAAGGCTACAAAGTGGTCAAAATATACACTTGCAGATTCTACTACAAGGGTGTTGCAAACCTGAACTATCAAAGGAAGGTTCAACTCTGTGAGTTGAATACAAACATCACAAAGAATGTTCTGAGTTTGCTTCCGTTCAGTTATGGGAAGTTGATCCCGTTTCCAACGAAATCCTCAGAGAGGTCCAAATATCCCCTTGCAGATTCTACAAAACGTGTGTTTGGAAACTGCTCCATCATAACGAATGTTCAGCTCCCTGAGTTAAACTCCATCGTCACAAAGAATTTTCTGAGAGTGCTACCGTCTGGTTTTTATATGAAGTTCTTTCCTTCACTACCACAGGCCTCAAAGCGGTCCAAATCTCCACTTGCAGATTCTACAAAAAGAGTGTTTGCAAACTGCTCTATCAAAAGGAATGTTCAACTCTGGGAGTTGAATGCAATCATCACAGAGCAGTTTCTGAGAATGCTTCTATGTCGTTTTTAGGAGAAGATATTTCCTTTTCCAACACAGTCCTCCAAGTCCGCTAAATAGCCACTTGCACATTGTAGAAAAAGTGTGTCAAAGCTGCGCTATCAAAGGGAAAGTTCAACTCTGTGAGGTGAATGCAAACATCCCAAAGAAGTTTCTGAGAATGCTTCCGTTTAGCTTTTAGGTGAAGATTATCCCGTTTCCAACGAAACCTTCAAAGAGGTCCAAATATCCCCTTGCGGATCCCACAGAAAGAGTGTTTCGAAACTGCTGTTTCAAAAGGAATCTTCAACTACTGTGAGTTGAATGCAATCATCACAAAGAAGTTTCTGACAATGCTTTCTCTCTCGTCTTTCTGTGAAGATAAAGGAAAAGGCTTTCAGGCCTTTTCCACCACAGGCCTGAAAGCGCTCCAAATGTCCACTTGCAGATTCTGCGAAAAGAATATTTCAAAACTGCTCTATGAAAAGCAATGTTAAACTCTGTGGCTCGAACACAAACATCACAAAGCGGTTTCTGAGAATGCTTCAGTTTAGTTTTTCTGTGGAAATATTCCCGTTTCCAAAGAAATCTTCAAAGAGGTCCACGTATCCACTTACAGATTCTACAAAAAGACAGTTTCAAAACTGCTCCATCAAAAGGAGGGTTCAACTGTGTGACTTGAATGCAATCATCACTCAGAAGTTTCTGAGAATGCTTCTCTTTAGTTTTTACGTGAACATATACCCGTTTCGAACGAAGGCCAACCAGTGGTCCAAATATCCACTTGCAGATTCTACAGAAAGAGTGTTTCGAACCTGAACTCTCAAAGGCAGGTTCATCTCTGCGAGTTAAATGCATTCATCATGAAGAACTTTCTCAGAGTGTTTGTGTTTAGTTATGGGAAATTATTCCCGTTTCCAACGAAATCCTCAGAGAGCTCCAAATATCCACCTGCAGATTCTACCAAAAGTGTATTTGGAAACTGCTCCATCAAAAGGCATGTTCAGCTCTGTGAGTGAAACTCCATCATCACAAAGAATATTCTGAGAATGCTTCCGTTTGCCTTTTATATGAAGTTCCTTCCTATACTACCGTAGGCCTCAAAGCAGTCCAAATCTCCATTTGCAGATTCTACAAAAAGAGTGATTCCAATCTGCTCTACCAATAGGATTGTTCAACTCCATGAGTTGAATGCCATCCTCACAAAGTCGTTTCTGAGAAAGCTTCTATCTGGTTTTTGTGTGAAGATATTTCCTTTTCCACCACAGGCCTCAAAGCCCTCCAAACGTCCACTTGCAGATTCTCGAAAAAGAGTGTTTCATAGCTGCTCTTTCAAAAGGAAAGTTCAACTCTAGGAGTTGAATACAAACATCACAAAGTAGTTTCCGAGAATGCTTCTGTTTAGTTTTTATGTGAAGATGATCCCGTTTCCAGTGAAATCTTCAAAGAGGTCCACATATCCCCTTGCAGATTCCAAAGAAAGAGGGTTTCAAAACTGCTCCATCAGAAGGATTGTTCAACTCTGTGAGTTGAATGCAGTCATCGCAGAAAACTTTCTGAGAATGCTTCTGTCTAGGTTTGATGTGAAGATATAGACGTTTCAAACGAAGGCTACAAAGTGTTCAAAATATACACTTGCAGATTCTACTACAAGGGTGTTGCAAACCTGAACTATCAAAGGAAGGTTCAACTCCGTGAGTTGAATACAAACATCACAAAGAATGTTCTGAGTTTGCTTCCGTTCAGTTATGGGAAGTTGATCCCGTTTCCAACGAAATCCTCAGAGAGGTCCAAATATCCCCTTGCAGATTCTACAAAACGTGTGTTTGGAAACTGCTCCATCATAACGAATGTTCAGCTCCCTGAGTTAAACTCCATCGTCACAAAGAATTTTCTGAGAGTACTACCGTCTGGTTTTTATATGAATTTCTTTCCTTCACTACCACAGGCCTCAAAGCGGTCCAAATCTCCACTTGCAGATTCTACAAAAAGAGTGTTTGCAAACTGCTCTATCAAAAGGAATGTTCAACTCTGGGAGTTGAATGCAATCGTCACAGAGCAGTTTCTGAGAATGCTTCTATGTCGTTTTTAGGAGAAGATATTTCCTTTTCCAACACAGTCCTCCAAGCCCGCTAAATAGCCACTTGCACATTGTAGAAAAAGTGTGTCAAAGCTGCGCTATCAAAGGGAAAGTTCAACTCTGTGAGGTGAATGCAAACATCCCAAAGAAGTTTCTGAGAATGCTTCCGTTTAGCTTTTAGGTGAAGATTATCCCGTTTCCAACGAAATCTTCAAAGAGGTCCAAATATCCCCTTGCGGATCCCACAGAAAGAGTGTTTCGAAACTGCTGTTTCAAAAGGAATCTTCAACTCTGTGAGTTGAATGCAATCATCACAAAGAAGTTTCTGACAATGCTTCTCTCTCGTCTTTCTGTGAAGATAAAGGAAAAGGCTTTCAGGCCTTTTCCACCACAGGCCTGAAAGCGCTCCAAATGTCCACTTGCAGATTCTGCGAAAAGAATATTTCAAAACTGCTCTATGAAAAGCAATGTTAAACTCTGTGGCTGGAACACAAACATCACAAAGCAGTTTCTGAGAATGTTTCAGTTTAGTTTTTCTGTGGAAATATTCCCGTTTCCAAAGAAATCTTCAAAGAGGTCCACGTATCCACTTACAGATTCTACAAAAAGACAGTTTCAAAACTGCTCCATCAAAAGGAGGGTTCAACTGTGTGACTTGAATGCAATCATCACTCAGAAGTTTCTGAGAATGCTTCTCTTTAGTTTTTACGTGAACATATACCCGTTTCGAACGAAGGCCACCCAGTGGTCCAAATATCCACTTGCAGATTATACAGAAAGAGTGTTTCGAACCTGAACTCTCAAAGGCAGGTTCATCTCTGCGAGTTAAATGCATTCATCATGAAGAACTTTCTCAGAGTGTTTGTGTTTAGTTATGGGAAATTATTCCCGTTTCCAACGAAATCCTCAGAGAGGTCCAAATATCCACCTGCAGATTCTACCAAAAGTGTATTTGGAAACTGCTCCATCAAAAGGCATGTTCAGCTCTGTGAGTGAAACTCCATCATCACAAAGAATATTCTGAGAATGCTTCCGTTTGCCTTTTATATGAAGTTCCTTCCTGTACTACCGTAGGCCTCAAAGCAGTCCAAATCTCCATTTGCAGATTCTACAAAAAGAGTGATTCCAATCTGCTGTATCAATAGGATTGTTCAACTCCATGAGTTGAATGCCATCCTCACAAAGTCGTTTCTGAGAATGCTTCTATCTAGTTTTTATGTGAAGATATTTCCTTTTCCACCACAGGCCTCAAAGCCCTCCAAACGTCCACTTGCAGATTCTCGAAAAAGAGAGTTTCATAGCTGCTCTTTCAAAAGGAAAGTTCAACTCTGGGAGTTGAATACAAACATCACAAAGTAGTTTCCGAGAATGCTTCTGTTTAGTTTTTATGTGAAGATGATCCCGTTTCCAGTGAAATCTTCAAAGAGGTCCACATATCCCCTTGCAGATTCCAAAGAAAGAGGGTTTCAAAACTGCTCCATCAGAAGGATTGTTCAACTCTGTGAGTTGAATGCAGTCATCGCAGAAAACTTTCTGAGAATGCTTCTGTCTAGGTTTGATGTGAAGATATAGACGTTTCAAACGAAGGCTACAAAGTGGTCAAAATATACACTTGCAGATTCTACTACAAGGGTGTTGCAAACCTGAACTATCAAAGGAAGGTTCAACTCTGTGAATTGAATACAAATATCACAAAGAATGTTCTGAGTTTGCTTCCGTTCAGTTATGGGAAGTTGATCCCGTTTCCAACGAAATCCTCAGAGAGGTCCAAATATCCCCTCGCAGATTCTACAAAACGTGTGTTTGGAAACTGCTCCATCATAACGAATGTTCAGCTCCCTGAGTTAAACTCCATCGTCACAAAGAATTTTCTGAGAGTGCTACCGTCTGGTTTTTATATGAAGTTCTTTCCTTCACTACCACAGGCCTCAAAGCGGTCCAAATCTCCACTTGCAGATTCTACAAAAAGAGTGTTTGCAAACTGCTCTATCAAAAGGAATGTTCAACTCTGGGAGTTGAATGCAATCATCACAGAGCAGTTTCTGAGAATGCTTCTATGTCGTTTTTAGGAGAAGATATTTCCTTTTCCAACACAGTCCTCCAAGCCCGCTAAATAGCCACTTGCACATTGTAGAAAAAGTGTGTCAAAGCTGCGCTATCAAAGGGAAAGTTCAACTCTGTGAGGTGAATGCAAACATCCCAAAGAAGTTTCTGAGAATGCTTCCGTTTAGCTTTTAGGTGAAGATTATCCCGTTTCCAACGAAACCTTCAAAGAGGTCCAAATATCCCCTTGCGGATCCCACAGAAAGAGTGTTTCGAAACTGCTGTTTCAAAAGGAATCTTCAACTCTGTGAGTTGAATGCAATCATCACAAAGAAGTTTCTGACAATGCTTCTCTCTCGTCTTTCTGTGAAGATAAAGGAAAAGGCTTTCAGGTCTTTTCCACCACAGGCCTGAAAGCGCTCCAAATGTCCACTTGCAGATTCTGCCAAAAGAATATTTCAAAACTGCTCTATGAAAAGCAATGTTAAACTCTGCGGCTCGAACACAAACATCACAAAACAGTTTCTGAGAATGCTTCAGTTTAGTTTTTCTGTGGAAATATTCCCGTTTCCAAAGAAATCTTCAAAGAGGTCCACGTATCCACTTACAGATTCTACAAAAAGACAGTTTCAAAACTGCTCAATCAAAAGGAGGGTTCAACTGTGTGACTTGAATGCAATCATCACTCAGAAGTTTCTGAGAATGCTTCTCTTTAGTTTTTACGTGAACATATACCCGTTTCGAACGAAGGCCACCCAGTGGTCCAAATATCCACTTGCAGATTCTACAGAAAGAGTGTTTCGAACCTGAACTCTCAAAGGCAGGTTCATCTCTGCGAGTTAAATGCATTCGTCATGAAGAACTTTCTCAGCGTGTTTGTGTTTAGTTATGGGAAATTATTCCCGTTTCCAACGAAATCCTCAGAGAGCTCCAAATATCCACCTGCAGATTCTACCAAAAGTGTATTTGGAAACTGCTCCATCAACAGGCATGTTCAGCTCTGTGAGTGAAACTCCATCATCACAAAGAATATTCTGAGAATGCTTCCGTTTGCCTTTTATATGAAGTTCCTTCCTATACGACCGTAGGCCTCAAAGCAGTCCAAATCTCCATTTGCAGATTCTACAAAAAGAGTGATTCCAATCTGCTCTATCAATAGGATTGTTCAACTCCATGAGTTGAATGCCATCCTCACAAAGTCGTTTCTGAGAATGCTTCTATCTAGTTTTTATGTGAAGATATTTCCTTTTCCACCACAGGCCTCAAAGCCCTCCAAACGTCCACTTGCAGATTCTCGAAAAAGAGTGTTTCATAGCTGCTCTTTCAGAAGGAAAGTTCAACTCTGGGAGTTGAATACAAACATCACAAAGTAGTTTCTGAGAATGCTTCTGTTTAGTTTTTATGTGAAGATGATCCCGTTTCCAGTGAAATCTTCAAAGAGGTCCACATATCCCCTTGCAGATTCCAAAGAAAGAGGGTTTCAAAACTGCTCCATCAGAAGGATTGTTCAACTCTGTGAGTTGAATGCAGTCATCGCAGAAAACTTTCTGAGAATGCTTCTGTCTAGGTTTGATGTGAAGATATAGACGTTTCAAACGAAGGCTACAAAGTGGTCAAAATATACACTTGCAGATTCTACTACAAGGGTGTTGCAAACCTGAACTATCAAAGGAAGGTTCAACTCTGTGAGTTGAATACAAACATCACAAAGAATGTTCTGAGTTTGCTTCCGTTCAGTTATGGGAAGTTGATCCCGTTTCCAACGAAATCCTCAGAGAGGTCCAAATATCCCCTTGCAGATTCTACAAAACGTGTGTTTGGAAACTGCTCCATCATAACGAATGTTCAGCTCCCTGAGTTAAACTCCATCGTCACAAAGAATTTTCTGAGAGTGCTACCGTCTGGTTTTTATATGAAGCTCTTTCCTTCACTACCACAGACCTCAAAGCGGTCCAAATCTCCACTTGCAGATTCTACAAAAAGAGTGTTTGCAAACTGCTCTATCAAAAGGAATGTTCAACTCTGGGAGTTGAATGCAATCATCACAGAGCAGTTTCTGAGAATGCTTCTATGTCGTTTTTAGGAGAAGATATTTCCTTTTCCAACACAATCCTCCAAGCCTGCTAAATAGCCACTTGCACATTGTAGAAAAAGTGTGTCAAAGCTGCGCTATCAAAGGGAAAGTTCAACTCTGTGAGGTGAATGCAAACATCCCAAAGAAGTTTCTGAGAATGCTTCCGTTTAGCTTTTAGGTGAAGATTATCCCGTTTCCAACGAAACCTTCAAAGAGGTCCAAATATCCCCTTGCGGATCCCACAGAAAGAGTGTTTCGAAACTGCTGTTTCAAAAGGAATCTTCAACTCTGTGAGTTGAATGCAATCATCACAAAGAAGTTTCTGACAATGCTTCTCTCTCGTCTTCCTGTGAAGATAAAGGAAAAGGCTTTCAGGCCTTTTCCACCACAGGCCTGAAAGCGCTCCAAATGTCCACTTGCAGATTCTGCCAAAAGAATATTTCAAAACTGCTCTATGAAAAGCAATGTTAAACTCTGTGGCTCGAACACAAACATCACAAAGCAGTTTCTGAGAATGCTTCAGTTTAGTTTTTCTGTGGAAATATTCCCGTTTCCAAAGAAATCTTCAAAGAGGTCCACGCATCCACTTACAGATTCTACAAAAAGACAGTTTAAAAACTGCTCAATCAAAAGGAGGGTTCAACTGTGTGACTTGAATGCATTCATCACTCAGAAGTTTCTGAGAACGCTTCTCTTTAGTTTTTACGTGAACATATACCCGTTTCGAACGAAGGCCAGCCAGTGGTCCAAATATCCACTTGCAGATTCTACAGAAAGAGTGTTTTGAACCTGAACTCTCAAAGGCAGGTTCATCTCTGCGAGTTAAATGCATTCATCATGAAGAACTTTCTCAGCGTGTTTGTGTTTAGTTATGGGAAATTATTCCCGTTTCCAACGAAATCCTCAGAGAGCTCCAAATATCCACCTGCAGATTCTACCAAAAGTCTATTTGGAAACTGCTCCATCAAAAGGCATGTTCAGCTCTGTGAGTGAAACTCCATCATCACAAAGAATATTCTGAGAATGCTTCCGTTTGCCTTTTATATGAAGTTCCTTCCTATACTACCGTAGGCCTCAAAGCAGTCCAAATCTCCATTTGCAGATTCTACAAAAAGAGTGATTCCAATCTGCTCTATCAATATGATTGTTCAACTCCATGTGTTGAATGCCATCCTCACAAAGTAGTTTCTGAGAATGCTTCTATCTAGTTTTTATGTGAAGATATTTCCTTTTCCACCACAGGCCTCAAAGCCCTCCAAACGTCCACTTGCAGATTCTCGAAAAAGAGTGTTTCATAGCTGCTCTTTCAAAAGGAAAGTTCAACTCTGGGAGTTGAATACAAACATCACAAAGTAGTTTCCGAGAATGCTTCCTGTTTAGTTTTTATGTGAAGATGATCCCGTTTCCAGTGAAATCTTCAAAGAGGTCCACATATCCCCTTGCAGATTCCAAAGAAAGAGGGTTTCAAAACTGCTCCATCAGAAGGATTGTTCAACTCTGTGAGTTGAATGCAGTCATCGCAGAAAACTTTCTGAGAATGCTTCTGTCTAGGTTTGATGTGAAGATATAGACGTTTCAAACGAAGGCTACAAAGTGGTCAAAATATACACTTGCAGATTCTACTACAAGGGTGTTGCAAACCTGAACTATCAAAGGAAGGTTCAACTCTGTGAGTTGAATACAAACATCACAAAGAATGTTCTGAGTTTGCTTCCGTTCAGTTATGGGAAGTTGATCCCGTTTCCAACGAAATCCTCAGAGAGGTCCAAATATCCCCTTGCAGATTCTACAAAACGTGTGTTTGGAAACTGCTCCATCATAACGAATGTTCAGCTCCCTGAGTTAAACTCCATCGTCACAAAGAATTTTCTTGAGAGTGCTACCGTCTGGTTTTTATATGAAGTTCTTTCCTTCACTACCACAGGCCTCAAAGCGGTCCAAATCTCCACTTGCAGATTCTACAAAAAGAGTGTTTGCAAACTGCTCTATCAAAAGGAATGTTCAACTCTGGGAGTTGAATGCAATCATCACAGAGCAGTTTCTGAGAATGCTTCTATGTCGTTTTTAGGAGAAGATATTTCCTTTTCCAACACAGTCCTCCAAGCCCGCTAAATAGCCACTTGCACATTGTAGAAAAAGTGTGTCAAAGCTGCGCTATCAAAGGGAAAGTTCAACTCTGTGAGGTGAATGCAAACATCCCAAAGAAGTTTCTGAGAATGCTTCCGTTTAGCTTTTAGGTGAAGATTATCCCGTTTCCAACGAAACCTTCAAAGAGGTCCAAATATCCCCTTGCGGATCCCACAGAAAGAGTGTTTCGAAACTGCTGTTTCAAAAGGAATCTTCAACTCTGTGAGTTGAATGCAATCATCACAAAGAAGTTTCTGACAATGCTTCTCTCTCGTCTTTCTGTGAAGATAAAGGAAAAGGCTTTCAGGCCTTTTCCACCACAGGCCTGAAAGCGCTCCAAATGTCCACTTGCAGATTCTGCCAAAAGAATATTTCAAAACTGCTCTATGAAAAGCAATGTTAAACTCTGTGGCTGGAACACAAAAATCACAAAGCGGTTTCTGAGAATGTTTCAGTTTAGTTTTTCTGTGGAAATATTCCCGTTTCCAAAGAAATCTTCAAAGAGGTCCACGTATCCACTTACAGATTCTACAAAAAGACAGTTTCAAAACTGCTCCATCAAAAGGAGGGTTCAACCGTGTGACTTGAATGCAATCATCACTCAGAAGTTTCTGAGAATGCTTCTCTTTAGTTTTTACGTGAACATATACCCGTTTCGAACGAAGGCCACCCAGTGGTCCAAATGTCCACTTGCAGATTCTACAGAAAGAGTGTTTCGAACCTGAACTCTCAAAGGCAGGTTCATCTCTGCGAGTTAAATGCATTCATCATGAAGAACTTTCTCAGAGTGTTTGTGTTTAGTTATGGGAAATTATTCCCGTTCCCAACGAAATCCTCAGAGAGGTCCAAATGTCCACCTGCAGATTCTACCAAAAGTGTATTTGGAAACTGCTCCATCAACAGGCATGTTCAGCTCTGTGAGTGAAACTCCATCATCACAAAGAATATTCTGAGAATGCTTCCGTTTGCCTTTTATATGAAGTTCCTTCCTATACGACCGTAGGCCTCAAAGCAGTGCAAATCTCCATTTGCAGATTCTACAAAAAGAGTGATTCCAATCTGCTCTATCAATAGGATTGTTCAACTCCATGAGTTGAATGCCATCCTCACAAAGTCGTTTCTGAGAATGCTTCTATCTAGTTTTTATGTGAAGATATTTCCTTTTCCACCACAGGCCTCAAAGCCCTCCAAACGTCCACTTGCAGATTCTCGAAAAAGAGTGTTTCATAGCTGCTCTTTCAAAAGGAAAGTTCAACTCTGGGAGTTGAATACAAACATCACAAAGTAGTTTCCGAGAATGCTTCTGTTTAGTTTTTATGTGAAGATGATCCCGTTTCCAGTGAAATCTTCAAAGAGGTCCACATATCCCCTTGCAGATTCCAAAGAAAGAGGGTTTCAAAACTGCTCCATCAATAGGATTGTTCAACTCTGTGAGTTGAATGCAGTCATCGCAGAAAACTTTCTGAGAATGCTTCTGTCTAGGTTTGATGTGAAGATATAGACGTTTCAAACGAAGGCTACAAAGTGGTCAAAATATACACTTGCAGATTCTACTACAAGGGTGTTGCAAACCTGAACTATCAAAGGAAGGTTCAACTCTGTGAATTGAATACAAACATCACAAAGAATGTTCTGAGTTTGCTTCCGTTCAGTTATGGGAAGTTGATCCCGTTTCCAACGAAATCCTCAGAGAGGTCCAAATATCCCCTTGCAGATTCTACAAAACGTGTGTTTGGAAACTGCTCCATCATAACGAATGTTCAGCTCCCTGAGTTAAACTCCATCGTCACAAAGAATTTTCTGAGATTGCTACCGTCTGGTTTTTATATGAAGTTCTTTCCTTCACTACCACAGGCCTCAAAGCGGTCCAAATCTCCACTTGCAGATTCTACAAAAAGAGTGTTTGCAAACTGCTCTATCAAAAGGAATGTTCAACTCTGGGAGTTGAATGCAATCATCACAGAGCAGTTTCTGAGAATGCTTCTATGTCGTTTTTAGGAGAAGATATTTCCTTTTCCAACACAGTCCTCCAAGCCCGCTAAATAGCCACTTGCACATTGTAGAAAAAGTGTGTCAAAGCTGCGCTATCAAAGGGAAAGTTCAACTCTGTGAGGTGAATGCAAACATCCTAAAGAAGTTTCTGAGAATGCTTCCGTTTAGCTTTTAGGTGAAGATTATCCCGTTTCCAACGAAACCTTCAAAGAGGTCCAAATATCCCCTTGCGGATCCCACAGAAAGAGTGTTTCGAAACTGCTGTTTCAAAAGGAATCTTCAACTCTGTGAGTTGAATGCAATCATCACAAAGAAGTTTCTGACAATGCTTCTCTCTCGTCTTTCTGTGAAGATAAAGGAAAAGGCTTTCAGGCCTTTTCCACCACAGGCCTGAAAGCGCTCCAAATGTCCACTTGCAGATTCTGCGAAAAGAATATTTCAAAACTGCTCTATGAAAAGCAATGTTAAACTCTGTGGCTCGAACACAAACATCACAAAGCGGTTTCTGAGAATGCTTCAGTTTAGTTTTTCTGTGGAAATATTCCCGTTTCCAAAGAAATCTTCAAAGAGGTCCACGTATCCACTTACAGAATCTACAAAAAGACAGTTTCAAAACTGCTCCATCAAAAGGAGGGTTCAACTGTGTGACTTGAATGCAATCATCACTCACAAGTTTCTGAGAATGCTTCTCTTTAGTTTTTACGTGAACATATACCCGTTTCGAACGAAGGCCAGCCAGTGGTCCAAATATCCACTTGCAGATTCTACAGAAAGAGTGTTTCGAACCTGAACTCTCAAAGGCAGGTTCATCTCTGCGAGTTAAATGCATTCATCATGAAGAACTTTCTCAGAGTGTTTGTGTTTAGTTATGGGAAATTATTCCCGTTTCCAACGAAATCCTCAGAGAGCTCCAAATATCCACCTGCAGATTCTACCAAAAGTGTATTTGGAAACTGCTCCATCAAAAGGCATGTTCAGCTCTGTGAGTGAAACTCCATCATCACAAAGAATATTCTGAGAATGCTTCCGTTTGCCTTTTATCTGAAGTTCCTTCCTATACGACCGTAGGCCTCAAAGCAGTCCAAATCTCCATTTGCAGATTCTACAAAAAGAGTGATTCCAATCTGCTCTATCAATAGGATTGTTCAACTCCATGAGTTGAATGCCATCCTCACAAAGTCGTTTCTGAGAATGCTTCTATCTAGTTTTTATGTGAAGATATTTCCTTTTCCACCACAGGCCTCAAAGCCCTCCAAACGTCCACTTGCAGATTCTCGAAAAGGAGTGTTTCATAGCTGCTCTTTCAAAAGGAAAGTTCAACTCTGGGAGTTGAATACAAACATCACAAAGTAGTTTCCGAGAATGCTTCTGTTTAGTTTTTATGTGAAGATGATCCCGTTTCCAGTGAAATCTTCAAAGAGGTCCACATATCCCCTTGCAGATTCCAAAGAAAGAGGGTTTCAAAACTGCTCCATCAGAAGGATTGTTCAACTCTGTGAGTTGAATGCAGTCATCGCAGAAAACTTTCTGAGAATGCTTCTGTCTAGGTTTGATGTGAAGATATAGACGTTTCAAACGAAGGCTACAAAGTGGTCAAAATATACACTTGCAGATTCTACTACAAGGGTGTTGCAAACCTGAACTATCAAAGGAAGGTTCAACTCTGTGAGTTGAATACAAACATCACAAAGAATGTTCTGAGTTTGCTTCCGTTCAGTTATGGGAAGTTGATCCCGTTTCCAACGAAATCCTCAGAGAGGTCCAAATATCCCCTTGCAGATTCTACAAAACGTGTGTTTGGAAACTGCTCCATCATAACGAATGTTCAGCTCCCTGAGTTAAACTCCATCGTCACAAAGAATTTTCTGAGAGTGCTACCGTCTGGTTTTTATATGAAGTTCTTTCCTTCACTACCACAGGCCTCAAAGCGGTCCAAATCTCCACTTGCAGATTCTACAAAAAGAGTGTTTGCAAACTGCTCTATCAAAAGGAATGTTCAACTCTGGGAGTTGAATGCAATCATCACAGAGCAGTTTCTGAGAATGCTTCTATGTCGTTTTTAGGAGAAGATATTTCCTTTTCCAACACAGTCCTCCAAGCCCGCTAAATAGCCACTTGCACATTGTAGAAAAAGTGTGTCAAAGCTGCGCTATCAAAGGGAAAGTTCAACTCTGTGAGGTGAATGCAAACATCCCAAAGAAGTTTCTGAGAATGCTTCCGTTTAGCTTTTAGGTGAAGATTATCCCGTTTCCAACGAAACCTTCAAAGAGGTCCAAATATCCCCTTGCGGATCCCACAGAAAGAGTGTTTCGAAACTGCTGTTTCAAAAGGAATCTTCAACTCTGTGAGTTGAATGCAATCATCACAAAGAAGTTTCTGACAATGCTTCTCTCTCGTCTTTCTGTGAACATAAAGGAAAAGGCTTTCAGGCCTTTTCCACCACAGGCCTGAAAGCGCTCCAAATGTCCACTTGCAGATTCTGCCAAAAGAATATTTCAAAACTGCTCTATGAAAAGCAATGTTAAACTCTGTGGCTCGAACACAAACATCACAAAGCAGTTTCTGAGAATGCTTCAGTTTAGTTTTTCTGTGGAAATATTCCCGTTTCCAAAGAAATCTTCAAAGAGGTCCACGTATCCACTTACAGATTCTACAAAAAGACAGTTTCAAAACTGCTCCATCAAAAGGAGGGTTCAACTGTGTGACTTGAATGCAATCATCACTCAGAAGTTTCTGAGAATGCTTCTCTTTAGTTTTTACGTGAACATATACCCGTTTCGAACGAAGGCCACCCAGTGGTCCAAATATCCACTTGCAGATTCTACAGAAAGAGTGTTTCGAACCTGAACTCTCAAAGGCAGGTTCATCTCTGCGAGTTAAATGCATTCATCATGAAGAACTTTCTCAGAGTGTTTGTGTTTAGTTATGGGAAATTATTCCCGTTTCCAACGAAATCCTCAGAGAGCTCCAAATATCCACCTGCAGATTCTACCAAAAGTGTATTTGGAAACTGCTCCATCAAAAGGCATGTTCCGCTCTGTGAGTGAAACTCCATCATCACAAAGAATATTCTGAGAATGCTTCCGTTTGCCTTTTATATGAAGTTCCTTCCTATACGACCGTAGGCCTCAAAGCAGTCCAAATCTCCATTTGCAGATTCTACAAAAAGAGTGATTCCAATCTGCTCTATCAATAGGATTGTTCAACTCCATGAGTTGAATGCCATCCTCACAAAGTCGTTTCTGAGAATGCTTCTATCTAGTTTTTATGTGAAGATATTTCCTTTTCCACCGCAGGCCTCTAATCCCTCCAAACGTCCACTTGCAGATTCTCGAAAAAGAGTGTTTCATAGCTGCTCTTTCAAAAGGAAAGTTCAACTCTGGGAGTTGAATACAAACATCACAAAGTAGTTTCCGAGAATGCTTCTGTTTAGTTTTTATGTGAAGATGATCCCGTTTCCAGTGAAATCTTCAAAGAGGTCCACATATCCCCTTGCAGATTCCAAAGAAAGAGGGTTTCAAAACTGCTCCATCAGAAGGATTGTTCAACTCTGTGAGTTGAATGCAGTCATCGCAGAAAACTTTCTGAGAATGCTTCTGTCTAGGTTTGATGTGAAGATATAGACGTTTCAAACGAAGGCTACAAAGTGGTCAAAATATACACTTGCAGATTCTACTACAAGGGTGTTGCAAACCTGAACTATCAAAGGAAGTTTCAACTCTGTGAATTGAATACAAACATCACAAAGAATGTTCTGAGTTTGCTTCCGTTCAGTTATGGGAAGTTGATCCCGTTTCCAACGAAATCCTCAGAGAGGTCCAAATATCCCCTCGCAGATTCTACAAAACGTGTGTTTGGAAACTGCTCCATCATAACGAATGTTCAGCTCCCTGAGTTAAACTCCATCGTCACAAAGAATTTTCTGAGAGTGCTACCGTCTGGTTTTTATATGAAGTTCTTTCCTTCACTACCACAGGCCTCAAAGCGGTCCAAATCTCCACTTGCAGATTCTACAAAAAGAGTGTTTGCAAACTGCTCTATCAAAAGGAATGTTCAACTCTGGGAGTTGAATGCAATCATCACAGAGCAGTTTCTGAGAATGCTTCTATGTCGTTTTTAGGAGAAGATATTTCCTTTTCCAACACAGTCCTCCAAGCCCGCTAAATAGCCACTTGCACATTGTAGAAAAAGTGTGTCAAAGCTGCGCTATCAAAGGGAAAGTTCAACTCTGTGAGGTGAATGCAAACATCCCAAAGAAGTTTCTGAGAATGCTTCCGTTTAGCTTTTAGGTGAAGATTATCCCGTTTCCAACGAAACCTTCAAAGAGGTCCAAATATCCCCTTGCGGATCCCACAGAAAGAGTGTTTCGAAACTGCTGTTTCAAAAGGAATCTTCAACTCTGTGAGTTGAATGCAATCATCACAAAGAAGTTTCTGACAATGCTTCTCTCTCGTCTTTCTGTGAAGATAAAGGAAAAGGCTTTCAGGCCTCTTCCACCACAGGCCTGAAAGCGCTCCAAATGTCCACTTGCAGATTCTGCGAAAAGAATATTTCAAAACTGCTCTATGAAAAGCAATGGTAAACTCTGTGGCTCGAACACAAACATCACAAAGCGGTTTCTGAGAATGCTTCAGTTTAGTTTTTCTGTGGAAATATTCCCGTTTCCAAAGAAATCTTCAAAGAGGTCCACGTATCCACTTACAGATTCTACAAAAAGACAGTTTCAAAACTGCTCCATCAAAAGGAGGGTTCAACTGTGTGACTTGAATGCAATCATCACTCAGAAGTTTCTGAGAATGCTTCTCTTTAGTTTTTACGTGAACATATACCCGTTTCGAACGAAGGCCACCCAGTGGTCCAAATATCCACTTGCAGATTCTACAGAAAGAGTGTTTCGAACCTGAACTCTCAAAGGCAGGTTCATCTCTGCGAGTTAAATGCATTCATCATGAAGAACTTTCTCAGAGTGTTTGTGTTTAGTTATGGGAAATTATTCCCGTTTCCAACGAAATCCTCAGAGTGGTCCAAATGTCCACCTGCAGATTCTACCAAAAGTGTATTTGGAAACTGCTCCATCAAAAGGCATGTTCAGCTCTGTGAGTGAAACTCCATCATCACAAAGAATATTCTGAGAATGCTTCCGTTTGCCTTTTATATGAAGTTCCTTCCTGTACTACCGTAGGCCTCAAAGCAGTCCAAATCTCCATTTGCAGATTCTACAAAAAGAGTGATTCCAATCTGCTGTATCAATAGGATTGTTCAACTCCATGAGTTGAATGCCATCCTCACAAAGTAGTTTCTGAGAATGCTTCTATCTAGTTTTTATGTGAAGATATTTCCTTTTCCACCACAGGCCTCAAAGCCCTCCAAACGTCCACTTGCAGATTCTCGAAAAAGAGTGTTTCATAGCTGCTCTTTCAAAAGGAAAGTTCAACTCTGGGAGTTGAATACAAACATCACAAAGTAGTTTCCGAGAATGCTTCTGTTTAGTTTTTATGTGAAGATGATCCCGTTTCCAGTGAAATCTTCAAAGAGGTCCACATATCCCCTTGCAGATTCCAAAGAAAGAGGGTTTCAAAACTGCTCCATCAGAAGGATTGTTCAACTCTGTGAGTTGAATGCAGTCATCGCAGAAAACTTTCTGAGAATGCTTCTGTCTAGGTTTGATGTGAAGATATAGACGTTTCAAACGAAGGCTACAAAGTGGTCAAAATATACACTTGCAGATTCTACTACAAGGGTGTTGCAAACCTGAACTATCAAAGGAAGGTTCAACTCTGTGAATTGAATACAAACATCACAAAGAATGTTCTGAGTTTGCTTCCGTTCAGTTATGGGAAGTTGATCCCGTTTCCAACGAAATCCTCAGAGAGGTCCAAATATCCCCTCGCAGATTCTACAAAACGTGTGTTTGGAAACTGCTCCATCATAACGAATGTTCAGCTCCCTGAGTTAAACTCCATCGTCACAAAGAATTTTCTGAGAGTGCTACCGTCTGGTTTTTATATGAAGTTCTTTCCTTCACTACCACAGGCCT
The DNA here is from genome assembly GCF_000001405.40 of Homo sapiens. Lineage (NCBI taxonomy): Eukaryota > Metazoa > Chordata > Mammalia > Primates > Hominidae > Homo > Homo sapiens. Next base: position 62,018,623 of record NC_000023.11, on the reverse strand, counting down.
CAAAGCGGTCCAAATCTCCACTTGCAGATTCTACAAAAAGAGTGTTTGCAAACTGCTCTATCAAAAGGAATGTTCAACTCTGGGAGTTGAATGCAATCATCACAGAGCAGTTTCTGAGAATGCTTCTATGTCGTTTTTAGGAGAAGATATTTCCTTTTCCAACACAGTCCTCCAAGCCCGCTAAATAGCCACTTGCACATTGTAGAAAAAGTGTGTCAAAGCTGCGCTATCAAAGGGAAAGTTCAACTCTGTGAGGTGAATGCAAACATCCCAAAGAAGTTTCTGAGAATGCTTCCGTTTAGCTTTTAGGTGAAGATTATCCCGTTTCCAACGAAACCTTCAAAGAGGTCCAAATATCCCCTTGCGGATCCCACAGAAAGAGTGTTTCGAAACTGCTGTTTCAAAAGGAATCTTCAACTCTGTGAGTTGAATGCAATCATCACAAAGAAGTTTCTGACAATGCTTCTCTCTCGTCTTTCTGTGAAGATAAAGGAAAAGGCTTTCAGGCCTTTGCCACCACAGGCCTGAAAGCGCTCCAAATGTCCACTTGCAGATTCTGCCAAAAGAATATTTCAAAACTGCTCTATGAAAAGCAATGTTAAACTCTGTGGCTCGAACACAAACATCACAAAGCGGTTTCTGAGAATGCTTCAGTTTAGTTTTTCTGTGGAAATATTCCCGTTTCCAAAGAAATCTTCAAAGAGGTCCACGTATCCACTTACAGATTCTACAAAAAGACAGTTTCAAAACTGCTCCATCAAAAGGAGGGTTCAACTGTGTGACTTGAATGCAATCATCACTCAGAAGTTTCTGAGAATGCTTCTCTTTAGTTTTTACGTGAACATATACCCGTTTCGAACGAAGGCCACCCAGTGGTCCAAATATCCACTTGCAGATTATACAGAAAGAGTGTTTCGAACCTGAACTCTCAAAGGCAGGTTCATCTCTGCGAGTTAAATGCATTCATCATGAAGAACTTTCTCAGAGTGTTTGTGTTTAGTTATGGGAAATTATTCCCGTTTCCAACGAAATCCTCAGAGAGCTCCAAATATCCACCTGCAGATTCTACCAAAAGTGTATTTGGAAACTGCTCCATCAAAAGGCATGTTCAGCTCTGTGAGTGAAACTCCATCATCACAAAGAATATTCTGAGAATGCTTCCGTTTGCCTTTTATCTGAAGTTCCTTCCTATACGACCGTAGGCCTCAAAGCAGTCCAAATCTCCATTTGCAGATTCTACAAAAAGAGTGATTCCAATCTGCTCTATCAATAGGATTGTTCAACTCCATGAGTTGAATGCCATCCTCACAAAGTCGTTTCTGAGAATGCTTCTATCTAGTTTTTATGTGAAGATATTTCCTTTTCCACCACAGGCCTCAAAGCCCTCCAAACGTCCACTTGCAGATTCTCGAAAAGGAGTGTTTCATAGCTGCTCTTTCAAAAGGAAAGTTCAACTCTGGGAGTTGAATACAAACATCACAAAGTAGTTTCCGAGAATGCTTCTGTTTAGTTTTTATGTGAAGATGATCCCGTTTCCAGTGAAATCTTCAAAGAGGTCCACATATCCCCTTGCAGATTCCAAAGAAAGAGGGTTTCAAAACTGCTCCATCAGAAGGATTGTTCAACTCTGTGAGTTGAATGCAGTCATCGCAGAAAACTTTCTGAGAATGCTTCTGTCTAGGTTTGATGTGAAGATATAGACGTTTCAAACGAAGGCTACAAAGTGGTCAAAATATACACTTGCAGATTCTACTACAAGGGTGTTGCAAACCTGAACTATCAAAGGAAGGTTCAACTCTGTGAGTTGAATACAAACATCACAAAGAATGTTCTGAGTTTGCTTCCGTTCAGTTATGGGAAGTTGATCCCGTTTCCAACGAAATCCTCAGAGAGGCCCAAATATCCCCTTGCAGATTCTACAAAAAGTGTGTTTGGAAACTGCTCCATCATAACGAATGTTCAGCTCCCTGAGTTAAACTCCATCGTCACAAAGAATTTTCTGAGAGTGCTACCGTCTGGTTTTTATATGAAGTTCTTTCCTTCACTACCCCAGGCCTCAAAGCGGTCCAAATCTCCACTTCCAGATTCTACAAAAAGAGTGTTTGCAAACTGCTCTATCAAAAGGAATGTTCAACTCTGGGAGTTGAATGCAATCATCACAGAGCAGTTTCTGAGAATGCTTCTATGTCGTTTTTAGGAGAAGATATTTCCTTTTCCAACACAGTCCTCCAAGCCCGCTAAATAGCCACTTGCACATTGTAGAAAAAGTGTGTCGAAGCTGCGCTATCAAAGGGAAAGTTCAACTCTGTGAGGTGAATGCAAACATCCCAAAGAAGTTTCTGAGAATGCTTCCGTTTAGCTTTTAGGTGAAGATTATCCCGTTTCCAACGAAACCTTCAAAGAGGTCCAAATATCCCCTTGCGGATCCCACAGAAAGAGTGTTTCGAAACTGCTGTTTCAAAAGGAATCTTCAACTCTGTGAGTTGAATGCAATCATCACAAAGAAGTTTCTGACAATGCTTCTCTCTCGTCTTTCTGTGAAGATAAAGGAAAAGGCTTTCAGGCCTTTTCCACCACAGGCCTGAAAGCGCTCCAAATGTCCACTTGCAGATTCTGCGAAAAGAATATTTCAAAACTGCTCTATGAAAAGCAATGTTAAACTCTGCGGCTCGAACACAAACATCACAAAGCGGTTTCTGAGAATGCTTCAGTTTAGTTTTTCTGTGGAAATATTCCCGTTTCCAAAGAAATCTTCAAAGGGGGTCCACGTATCCACTTACAGATTCTACAAAAAGACAGTTTCAAAACTGCTCCATCAAAAGGAGGGTTCAACTGTGTGACTTGAATGCAATCATCACTCAGAAGTTTCTGAGAATGCTTCTCTTTAGTTTTTACGTGAACATATACCCGTTTCGAACGAAGGCCAGCCAGTGGTCCAAATATCCACTTGCAGATTCTACAGAAAGAGTGTTTCGAACCTGAACTCTCAAAGGCAGGTTCATCTCTGCGAGTTAAATGCATTCATCATGAAGAACTTTCTCAGAGTGTTTGTGTTTAGTTATGGGAAATTATTCCCGTTTCCAACGAAATCCTCAGAGAGGTCCAAATATCCACCTGCAGATTCTACCAAAAGTGTATTTGGAAACTGCTCCATCAAAAGGCATGTTCAGCTCTGTGAGTGAAACTCCATCATCACAAAGAATATTCTGAGAATGCTTCCGTTTGCCTTTTATATGAAGTTCCTTCCTATACGACCGTAGGCCTCAAAGCAGTCCAAATCTCCATTTGCAGATTCTACAAAAAGAGTGATTCCAATCTGCTCTATCAATAGGATTGTTCAACTCCATGAGTTGAATGCCATCCTCACAAAGTTGTTTCTGAGAATGCTCTATCTAGTTTTTATGTGAAGATATTTCCTTTTCCACCACAGGCCTCAAAGCCCTCCAAACGTCCACTTGCAGATTCTCGAAAAAGAGTGTTTCATAGCTGCTCTTTCAAAAGGAAAGTTCAACTCTGGGAGTTGAATACAAACATCACAAAGTAGTTTCCGAGAATGCTTTCTGTTTAGTTTTTATGTGAAGATGATCCCGTTTCCAGTGAAATCTTCAAAGAGGTCCACATATCCCCTTGCAGATTCCAAAGAAAGAGGGTTTCAAAACTGCTCCATCAGAAGGATTGTTCAACTCTGTGAGTTGAATGCAGTCATCGCAGAAAACTTTCTGAGAATGCTTCTGTCTAGGTTTGATGTGAAGATATAGACGTTTCAAACGAAGGCTACAAAGTGGTCAAAATATACACTTGCAGATTCTACTACAAGGGTGTTGCAAACCTGAACTATCAAAGGAAGGTTCAACTATGTGAGTTGAATACAAACATCACAAAGAATGTTCTGAGTTTGCTTCCGTTCAGTTATGGGAAGTTGATCCCGTTTCCAACGAAATCCTCAGAGAGGTCCAAATATCCCCTTGCAGATTCTACAAAACGTGTGTTTGGAAACTGCTCCATCATAACGAATGTTCAGCTCCCTGAGTTAAACTCCATCGTCACAAAGAATTTTCTGAGAGTGCTACCGTCTGGTTTTTATATGAAGTTCTTTCCTTCACTACCACAGACCTCAAAGCGGTCCAAATCTCCACTTGCAGATTCTACAAAAAGAGTGTTTGCAAACTGCTCTATCAAAAGGAATGTTCAACTCTGGGAGTTGAATGCAATCATCACAGAGCAGTTTCTGAGAATGCTTCTATGTCGTTTTTAGGAGAAGATATTTCCTTTTCCAACACAGTCCTCCAAGCCCGCTAAATAGCCACTTGCACATTGTAGAAAAAGTGTGTCAAAGCTGCGCTATCAAAGGGAAAGTTCAACTCTGTGAGGTGAATGCAAACATCCCAAAGAAGTTTCTGAGAATGCTTCCGTTTAGCTTTTAGGTGAAGATTATCCCGTTTCCAACGAAACCTTCCAAGAGGTCCAAATATCCCCTTGCGGATCCCACAGAAAGAGTGTTTCGAAACTGCTGTTTCAAAAGGAATCTTCAACTCTGTGAGTTGAATGCAATCATCACAAAGAAGTTTCTGACAATGCTTCTCTCTCGTCTTTCTGTGAAGATAAAGGAAAAGGCTTTCAGGCCTTTGCCACCACAGGCCTGAAAGCGCTCCAAATGTCCACTTGCAGATTCTGCCAAAAGAATATTTCAAAACTGCTCTATGAAAAGCAATGTTAAACTCTGTGGCTCGAACACAAACATCACAAAGCGGTTTCTGAGAATGCTTCAGTTTAGTTTTTCTGTGGAAATATTCCCGTTTCCAAAGAAATCTTCAAAGAGGTCCACGTATCCACTTACAGATTCTACAAAAAGACAGTTTCAAAACTGCTCCATCAAAAGGAGGGTTCAACCGTGTGACTTGAATGCAATCAGCACTCAGAAGTTTCTGAGAATGCTTCTCTTTAGTTTTTACGTGAACATATACCCGTTTCGAACGAAGGCCACCCAGTGGTCCAAATATCCACTTGCAGATTATACAGAAAGAGTGTTTCGAACCTGAACTCTCAAAGGCAGGTTCATCTCTGCGAGTTAAATGCATTCATCATGAAGAACTTTCTCAGAGTGTTTGTGTTTAGTTATGGGAAATTATTCCCGTTTCCAACGAAATCCTCAGAGAGCTCCAAATATCCACCTGCAGATTCTACCAAAAGTGTATTTGGAAACTGCTCCATCAAAAGGCATGTTCAGCTCTGTGAGTGAAACTCCATCATCACAAAGAATATTCTGAGAATGCTTCCGTTTGCCTTTTATATGAAGTTCCTTCCTGTACTACCGTAGGCCTCAAAGCAGTCCAAATCTCCATTTGCAGATTCTATAAAAAGAGTGATTCCAATCTGCTCTATCAATAGGATTGTTCAACTCCATGAGTTGAATGCCATCCTCACAAAGTAGTTTCTGAGAATGCTTCTATCTGGTTTTTGTGTGAAGATATTTCCTTTTCCACCACAGGCCTCAAAGCCCTCCAAACGTCCACTTGCAGATTCTCGAAAAAGAGTGTTTCATAGCTGCTCTTTCAAAAGGAAAGTTCAACTCTGGGAGTTGAATACAAACATCACAAAGTAGTTTCCGAGAATGCTTCTGTTTAGTTTTTATGTGAAGATGATCCCGTTTCCAGTGAAATCTTCAAAGAGGTCCACATATCCCCTTGCAGATTCCAAAGAAAGAGGGTTTCAAAACTGCTCCATCAGAAGGATTGTTCAACTCTGTGAGTTGAATGCAGTCATCGCAGAAAACTTTCTGAGAATGCTTTTCTGTCTAGGTTTGATGTGAAGATATAGACGTTTCAAACGAAGGCTACAAAGTGGTCAAAATATACACTTGCAGATTCTACTACAAGGGTGTTGCAAACCTGAACTATCAAAGGAAGGTTCAACTCTGTGAATTGAATACAAACATCACAAAGAATGTTCTGAGTTTGCTTCCGTTCAGTCATGGGAAGTTGATCCCGTTTCCAACGAAATCCTCAGAGAGGTCCAAATATCCCCTCGCAGATTCTACAAAACGTGTGTTTGGAAACTGCTCCATCATAACGAATGTTCAGCTCCCTGAGTTAAACTCCATCGTCACAAAGAATTTTCTGAGAGTGCTACCGTCTGGTTTTTATATGAAGTTCTTTCCTTCACTACCACAGGCCTCAAAGCGGTCCAAATCTCCACTTGCAGATTCTACAAAAAGAGTGTTTGCAAACTGCTCTATCAAAAGGAATGTTCAACTCTGGGAGTTGAATGCAATCATCACAGAGCAGTTTCTGAGAATGCTTCTATGTCGTTTTTAGAAGATATTTCCTTTTCCAACACAGTCCTCCAAGCCCGCTAAATATCCACTTGCACATTGTAGAAAAAGTGTGTCAAAGCTGCGCTATCAAAGGGAAAGTTCAACTCTGTGAGGTGAATGCAAACATCCCAAAGAAGTTTCTGAGAATGCTTCCGTTTAGCTTTTAGGTGAAGATTATCCCGTTTCCAACGAAACCTTCAAAGAGGTCCAAATATCCCCTTGCGGATCCCACAGAAAGAGTGTTTCGAAACTGCTGTTTCAAAAGGAATCTTCAACTGCTGTGAGTTGAATGCAATCATCACAAAGAAGTTTCTGACAATGCTTCTCTCTCGTCTTTCTGTGAAGATAAAGGAAAAGGCTTTCAGGCCTTTGCCACCACAGGCCTGAAAGCGCTCCAAATGTCCACTTGCAGATTCTGCGAAAAGAATATTTCAAAACTGCTCTATGAAAAGCAATGTTAAACTCTGTGGCTCGAACACAAACATCACAAAGCGGTTTCTGAGAATGCTTCAGTTTAGTTTTTCTGTGGAAATATTCCCGTTTCGAAAGAAATCTTCAAAGAGGTCCACGTATCCACTTACAGATTCTACAAAAAGACAGTTTCAAACTGCTCCATCAAAAGGAGGGTTCAACCGTGTGACTTGAATGCAATCATCACTCAGAAATTTCTGAGAATGCTTCTCTTTAGTTTTTACGTGAACATATACCCGTTTCGAACGAAGGCCACCCAGTGGTCCAAATATCCACTTGCAGATTATACAGAAAGAGTGTTTCGAACCTGAACTCTCAAAGGCAGGTTCATCTCTGCGAGTTAAATGCATTCATCATGAAGAACTTTCTCAGAGTGTTTGTGTTTAGTTATGGGAAATTATTCCCGTTTCCAACGAAATCCTCAGAGAGCTCCAAATATCCACCTGCAGATTCTACCAAAAGTGTATTTGGAAACGGCTCCATCAAAAGGCATGTTCAGCTCTGTGAGTGAAACTCCATCATCACAAAGAATATTCTGAGAATGCTTCCGTTTGCCTTTTATATGAAGTTCCTTCCTGTACTACCGTAGGCCTCAAAGCAGTCCAAATCTCCATTTGCAGATTCTATAAAAAGAGTGATTCCAATCTGCTCTATCAATAGGATTGTTCAACTCCATGAGTTGAATGCCATCCTCACAAAGTAGTTTCTGAGAATGCTTCTATCTGGTTTTTGTGTGAAGATATTTCCTTTTCCACCACAGGCCTCAAAGCCCTCCAAACGTCCACTTGCAGATTCTCGAAAAAGAGTGTTTCATAGCTGCTCTTTCAAAAGGAAAGTTCAACTCTGGGAGTTGAATACAAACATCACAAAGTAGTTTCCGAGAATGCTTCTGTTTAGTTTTTATGTGAAGATGATCCCGTTTCCAGTGAAATCTTCAAAGAGGTCCACATATCCCCTTGCAGATTCCAAAGAAAGAGGGTTTCAAAACTGCTCCATCAGAGGATTGTTCAACTCTGTGAGTTGAATGCAGTCATCGCAGAAAACTTTCTGAGAATGCTTCTGTCTAGGTTTGATGTGAAGATATAGACGTTTCAAACGAAGGCTACAAAGTGGTCAAAATATACACTTGCAGATTCTACTACAAGGGTGTTGCAAACCTGAACTATCAAAGGAAGGTTCAACTCTGTGAGTTGAATACAAACATCACAAAGAATGTTCTGAGTTTGCTTCCGTTCAGTTATGGGAAGTTGATCCCGTTTCCAACGAAATCCTCAGAGAGGTCCAAATATCCCCTTGCAGATTCTACAAAACGTGTGTTTGGAAACTGCTCCATCATAACGAATGTTCAGCTCCCTGAGTTAAACTCCATCGTCACAAAGAATTTTCTGAGAGTGCTACCGTCTGGTTTTTATATGAAGTTCTTTCCTTCACTACCACAGGCCTCAAAGCGGTCCAAATCTCCACTTGCAGATTCTACAAAAAGAGTGTTTGCAAACTGCTCTATCAAAAGGAATGTTCAACTCTGGGAGTTGAATGCAATCATCACAGAGCAGTTTCTGAGAATGCTTCTATGTCGTTTTTAGGAGAAGATATTTCCTTTTCCAACACAGTCCTCCAAGCCCGCTAAATAGCCACTTGCACATTGTAGAAAAAGTGTGTCAAAGCTGCGCTATCAAAGGGAAAGTTCAACTCTGTGAGGTGAATGCAAACATCCCAAAGAAGTTTCTGAGAATGCTTCCGTTTAGCTTTTAGGTGAAGATTATCCCGTTTCCAACGAAACCTTCAAAGAGGTCCAAATATCCCCTTGCGGATCCCACAGAAAGAGTGTTTCGAAACTGCTGTTTCAAAAGGAATCTTCAACTCTGTGAGTTGAATGCAATCATCACAAAGAAGTTTCTGACAATGCTTCTCTCTCGTCTTTCTGTGAAGATAAAGGAAAAGGCTTTCAGGCCTTTTCCACCCACAGGCCTGAAAGCGCTCCAAATGTCCACTTGCAGATTCTGCGAAAAGAATATTTCAAAACTGCTCTATGAAAAGCAATGTTAAACTCTGTGGCTGGAACACAAACATCACAAAGCGGTTTCTGAGAATGTTTCAGTTTAGTTTTTCTGTGGAAATATTCCCGTTTCCAAAGAAATCTTCAAAGAGGTCCACGTATCCACTTACAGATTCTACAAAAAGACAGTTTCAAAACTGCTCCATCAAAAGGAGGGTTCAACTGTGTGACTTGAATGCAATCATCACTCAGAAGTTTCTGAGAATGCTTCTCTTTAGTTTTTACGTGAACATATACCCGTTTCGAACGAAGGCCACCCAGTGGTCCAAATATCCACTTGCAGATTCTACAGAAAGAGTGTTTCGAACCTGAACTCTCAAAGGCAGGTTCATCTCTGCGAGTTAAATGCATTCATCATGAAGAACTTTCTCAGAGTGTTTGTGTTTAGTTATGGGAAATTATTCCCGTTTCCAACGAAATCCTCAGAGAGCTCCAAATATCCACCTGCAGATTCTACCAAAAGTGTATTTGGAAACTGCTCCATCAAAAGGCATGTTCAGCTCTGTGAGTGAAACTCCATCATCACAAAGAATATTCTGAGAATGCTTCCGTTTGCCTTTTATATGAACTTCCTTCCTATACGACCGTAGGCCTCAAAGCAGTCCAAATCTCCATTTGCAGATTCTACAAAAAGAGTGATTCCAATCTGCTCTATCAATAGGATTGTTCAACTCCATGAGTTGAATGCCATCCTCACAAAGTCGTTTCTGAGAATGCTTCTATCTAGTTTTTATGTGAAGATATTTCCTTTTCCACCACAGGCCTCAAAGCCCTCCAAACAGTCCACTTGCAGATTCTCGAAAAAGAGTGTTTCATAGCTGCTCTTTCAAAAGGAAAGTTCAACTCTGGGAGTTGAATACAAACATCACAAAGTAGTTTCCGAGAATGCTTCTGTTTAGTTTTTATGTGAAGATGATCCCGTTTCCAGTGAAATCTTCAAAGAGGTCCACATATCCCCTTGCAGATTCCAAAGAAAGAGGGTTTCAAAACTGCTCCATCAGAAGGATTGTTCAACTCTGTGAGTTGAATGCAGTCATCGCAGAAAACTTTCTGAGAATGCTTCTGTCTAGGTTTGATGTGAAGATATAGCATGTTTCAAACGAAGGCTACAAAGTGGTCAAAATATACACTTGCAGATTCTACTACAAGGGTGTTGCAAACCTGAACTATCAAAGGAAGGTTCAACTCTGTGAGTTGAATACAAACATCACAAAGAATGTTCTGAGTTTGCTTCCGTTCAGTTATGGGAAGTTGATCCCGTTTCCAACGAAATCCTCAGAGAGGTCCAAATATCCCCTCACAGATTCTACAAAACGTGTGTTTGGAAACTGCTCCATCATAACGAATGTTCAGCTCCCTGAGTTAAACTCCATCGTCACAAAGAATTTTCTGAGAGTGCTACCGTCTGGTTTTTATATGAAGTTCTTTCCTTCACTACCACAGGCCTCAAAGCGGTCCAAATCTCCACTTGCAGATTCTACAAAAAGAGTGTTTGCAAACTGCTCTATCAAAAGGAATGTTCAACTCTGGGAGTTGAATGCAATCATCACAGAGCAGTTTCTGAGAATGCTTCTATGTCGTTTTTAGGAGAAGATATTTCCTTTTCCAACACAGTCCTCCAAGCCCGCTAAATAGCCACTTGCACATTGTAGAAAAAGTGTGTCAAAGCTGCGCTATCAAAGGGAAAGTTCAACTCTGTGAGGTGAATGCAAACATCCCAAAGAAGTTTCTGAGAATGCTTCCGTTTAGCTTTTAGGTGAAGATTATCCCGTTTCCAACGAAATCTTCAAAGAGGTCCAAATATCCCCTTGCGGATCCCACAGAAAGAGTGTTTCGAAACTGCTGTTTCAAAAGGAATCTACAACTCTGTGGGTTGAATGCAATCATCACAAAGCAGTTTCTGACAATGCTTCTCTCTCGTCTTTCTGTGAAGATAAAGGAAAAGGCTTTCAGGCCTTTTCCACCACAGGCCTGAAAACGCTCTAAATGTCCACTTGCAGATTCTGCCAAAAGAATATTTCAAAACTGCTCTATGAAAAGCAATGTTAAACTCTGCGGCTCGAACACCAACATCACAAAGCAGTTTCTGAGAATGCTTCAGTTTAGTTTTTCTGTGGAAATATTCCCGTTTCCAAAGACATCTTCCAAGAGGTCCACGTATCCACTTACAGATTCTACAAAAAGACAGTTTCAAAACTGCTCAATCAAAAGGCGGGTTCAACTGTGTGACTTGAATGCAATCATCACTCAGAAGTTTCTGAGAATGCTTCTCTTTAGTTTTTACGTGAACATATACCCGTTTCGAACGAAGGCCAGCCAGTGGTCCAAATATCCACTTGCAGATTCTACAGAAAGAGTGTTTCGAACCTGAACTCTCAAAGGCAGGTTCATCTCTGCGAGTTAAATGCATTCATCATGAAGAACTTTCTCAGAGTGTTTGTGTTTAGTTATGGGAAATTATTCCCGTTTCCAACGAAATCCTCAGAGAGCTCCAAATATCCACCTGCAGATTCTACCAAAAGTGTATTTGGAAACTGCTCCATCAAAAGGCATGTTCAGCTCTGTGAGTGAAACTCCATCATCACAAAGAATATTCTGAGAATGCTTCCGTTTGCCTTTTATATGAAGTTCCTTCCTATACGACCGTAGGCCTCAAAGCAGTCCAAATCTCCATTTGCAGATTCTACAAAAAGAGTGATTCCAATCTGCTCTATCAATAGGATTGTTCAACTCCATGAGTTGAATGCCATCCTCACCAAGTCGTTTCTGAGAATGCTTCTATCTAGTTTTTATGTGAAGATATTTCCTTTTCCACCACAGGCCTCAAAGACCTCCAAACGTCCACTTGCAGATTCTCGAAAAGGAGTGTTTCATAGCTGCTCTTTCAAAAGGAAAGTTCAACTCTGGGAGTTGAATACAAACATCACAAAGTAGTTTCCGAGAATGCTTCTGTTTAGTTTTTATGTGAAGATGATCCCGTTTCCAGTGAAATCTTCAAAGAGGTCCACATATCCCCTTGCAGATTCCAAAGAAAGAGGGTTTCAAAACTGCTCCATCAGAAGGATTGTTCAACTCTGTGAGTTGAATGCAGTCATCGCAGAAAACTTTCTGAGAATGCTTCTGTCTAGGTTTGATGTGAAGATATAGACGTTTCAAACGAAGGCTACAATGTGGTCAAAATATACACTTGCAGATTCTACTACAAGGGTGTTACAAACCTGAACTATCAAAGGATGGTTCAACTCTGTGAGTTGAATACAAACATCACAAAGAATGTTCTGAGTTTGCTTCCGTTCAGTTATGGGAAGTTGATCCCGTTTCCAACGAAATCCTCAGAGAGGTCCAAATATCCCCTCGCAGATTCTACAAAACGTGTTTTTGGAAACTGCTCCATCATAACGAATGTTCAGCTCCCTGAGTTAAACTCCATCGTCACAAAGAATTTTCTGAGAGTGCTACCGTCTGGTTTTTATATGAAGTTCTTTCCTTCACTACCACAGGCCTCAAAGCGGTCCAAATCTCCACTTGCAGATTCTACAAAAAGAGTGTTTGCAAACTGCTCTATCAAAAGGAATGTTCAACTCTGGGAGTTGAATGCAATCATCACAGAGCAGTTTCTGAGAATGCTTCTATGTCGTTTTTAGAAGATATTTCCTTTTCCAACACAGTCCTCCAAGCCCGCTAAATAGCCACTTGCACATTGTAGAAAAAGTGTGTCAAAGCTGCGCTATCAAAGGGAAAGTTCAACTCTGTGAGGTGAATGCAAACATCCCAAAGAAGTTTCTGAGAATGCTTCCGTTTAGCTTTTAGGTGAAGATTATCCCGTTTCCAACGAAACCTTCAAAGAGGTCCAAATATCCCCTTGCGGATCCCACAGAAAGAGTGTTTCAAAACTGCTGTTTCAAAAGGAATCTTCAACTCTGTGAGTTGAATGCAATCATCACAAAGAAGTTTCTGACAATGCTTCTCTCTCGTCTTTCTGTGAAGATAAAGGAAAAGGCTTTCAGGCCTTTTCCACCACAGGCCTGAAAGCGCTCCAAATGTCCACTTGCAGATTCTGCGAAAAGAATATTTCAAAACTGCTCTATGAAAAGCAATGTTAAACTCTGTGGCTCGAACACAAACATCACAAAGCAGTTTCTGAGAATGCTTCAGTTTAGTTTTTCTGTGGAAATATTCCCGTTTCCAAAGAAATCTTCAAAGAGGTCCACGTATCCACTTACAGATTCTACAAAAAGACAGTTTCAAAACTACTCCATCAAAAGGAGGGTTCAACTATGTGACTTGAATGCAATCATCACTCAGAAGTTTCTGAGAATGCTTCTTTTTAGTTTTTATGTGAACATATACCCGTTTCGAACGAAGGCCACCCAGTGGTCCAAATATCCACTTGCAGATTCTACAGAAAGAGTGTTTCGAACCTGAACTCTCAAAGGCAGGTTCATCTCTGCGAGTTAAATGCATTCATCATGAAGAACTTTCTCAGAGTGTTTGTGTTTAGTTATGGGAAATTATTCCCCTTTCCAACGAAATCCTCAGAGAGCTCCAAATATCCACCTGCAGATTCTACCAAAAGTGTATTTGGAAACTGCTCCATCAAAAGGCATGTTCAGCTCTGTGAGTGAAACTCCATCATCACAAAGAATATTCTGAGAATGCTTCCGTTTGCCTTTTATCTGAAGTTCCTTCCTATACGACCGTAGGCCTCAAAGCAGTCCAAATCTCCATTTGCAGATTCCACAAAAAGAGTGATTCCAATCTGCTCTATCAATAGGATTGTTCAACTCCATGAGGTTGAATGCCATCCTCACAAAGTCGTTTCTGAGAATGCTTCTATCTAGTTTTTATGTGAAGATATTTCCTTTTCCACCACAGGCCTCAAAGCCCTCCAAACGTCCACTTGCAGATTCTCGAAAAAGAGTGTTTCATAGCTGCTCTTTCAAAAGGAAAGTTCAACTCTGGCAGTTGAATACAAACATCACAAAGTAGTTTCCGAGAATGCTTCTGTTTAGTTTTTATGTGAAGATGATCCCGTTTCCAGTGAAATCTTCAAAGAGGTCCACATATCCCCTTGCAGATTCCAAAGAAAGAGGGTTTCAAAACTGCTCCATCAGAAGGATTGTTCAACTCTGTGAGTTGAATGCAGTCATCGCAGAAAACTTTCTGAGAATGCTTCTTTCTAGGTTTGATGTGAAGATATAGACGTTTCAAACGAAGGCTACAAAGTGGTCAAAATATACACTTGCAGATTCTACTACAAGGGTGTTGCAAACCTGAACTATCAAAGGAAGGTTCAACTCTGTGAGTTGAATACAAACATCACAAAGAATGTTCTGAGTTTGCTTCCGTTCAGTTATGGGAAGTTGATCCCGTTTCCAACGAAATCCTCAGAGAGGTCTAAATATCCCCTTGCAGATTCTACAAAACGTGTGTTTGGAAACTGCTCCATCATAACGAATGTTCAGCTCCCTGAGTTAAACTCCATCGTCACAAAGAATTTTCTGAGAGTGCTACCGTCTGGTTTTTATATGAAGTTATTTCCTTTACTACCACAGGCCTCAAAGCGGTCCAAATCTCCACTTGCAGATTCTACAAAAAGAGTGTTTGCAAACTGCTCTATCAAAAGGAATGTTCAACTCTGGGAGTTGAATGCAATCATCACAGAGCAGTTTCTGAGAATGCTTCTATGTCGTTTTTAGGAGAAGATATTTCCTTTTCCAACACAGTCCTCCAAGCCCGCTAAATAGCCACTTGCACATTGTAGAAAAAGTGTGTCAAAGCTGCGCTATCAAAGGGAAAGTTCAACTCTGTGAGGTGAATGCAAACATCCCAAAGAAGTTTCTGAGAATGCTTCCGTTTAGCTTTTAGGTGAAGATTATCCCGTTTCCAACGAAACCTTCAAAGTAGGTCCAAATATCCCCTTGCGGATCCCACAGAAAGAGTGTTTCGAAACTGCTGTTTCAAAAGGAATCTTCAACTCTGTGAGTTGAATGCAATCATCACAAAGAAGTTTCTGACAATGCTTCTCTCTCGTCTTTCTGTGAAGATAAAGGAAAAGGCTTTCAGGCCTTTTCCACCACAGGCCTGAAAGCGCTCCAAATGTCCACTTGCAGATTCTGCCAAAAGAATATTTCAAAACTGCTCTATGAAAAGCAATGTTAAACTCTGTGGCTCGAACACAAACATCACAAAGCAGTTTCTGAGAATGCTTCAGTTTAGTTTTTCTGTGGAAATATTCCCGTTTCCAAAGAAATCTTCAAAGAGGTCCACGTATCCACTTACAGATTCTACAAAAAGACAGTTTCAAAACTGCTCCATCAAAAGGAGGGTTCAACTGTGTGACTTGAATGCAGTCATCACTCAGAAGTTTCTGAGAATGCTTCTCTTTAGTTTTTACGTGAACATATACCCGTTTCGAACGAAGGCCAGCCAGTGGTCCAAATATCCACTTGCAGATTCTACAGAAAGAGTGTTTCGACCCTGAACTCTCAAAGGCAGGTTCATCTCTGCGAGTTAAATGCATTCATCATGAAGAACTTTCTCAGAGTGTTTGTGTTTAGTTATGGGAAATTATTCCCGTTTCCAACGAAATCCTCAGAGAGCTCCAAATATCCACCTGCAGATTCTACCAAAAGTGTATTTGGAAACTGCTCCATCAAAAGGCATGTTCAGCTCTGTGAGTGAAACTCCATCATCACAAAGAATATTCTGAGAATGCTTCCGTTTGCCTTTTATATGAAGTTCCTTCCTATACGACCGTAGGCCTCAAAGCAGTCCAAATCTCCATTTGCAGATTCTACAAAAAGAGTGATTCCAATCTGCTCTATCAATAGGATTGTTCAACTCCATGAGTTGAATGCCATCCTCACCAAGTCGTTTCTGAGAATGCTTCTATCTAGTTTTTATGTGAAGATATTTCCTTTTCCACCACAGGCCTCAAAGCCTTCCAAACGTCCACTTGCAGATTCTCGAAAAAGAGTGTTTCATAGCTGCTCTTTCAAAAGGAAAGTTCAACTCTGGGAGTTGAATACAAACATCACAAAGTAGTTTCCGAGAATGCTTCTGTTTAGTTTTTATGTGAAGATGATCCCGTTTCCAGTGAAATCTTCAAAGAGGTCCACATATCCCCTTGCAGATTCCAAAGAAAGAGGGTTTCAAAACTGCTCCATCAGAAGGATTGTTCAACTCTGTGAGTTGAATGCAGTCATCGCAGAAAACTTTCTGAGAATGCTTCTTTCTAGGTTTGATGTGAAGATATAGACGTTTCAAACGAAGGCTACAAAGTGGTCAAAATATACACTTGCAGATTCTACTACAAGGGTGTTGCAAACCTGAACTATCAAAGGAAGGTTCAACTCTGTGAGTTGAATACAAACATCACAAAGAATGTTCTGAGTTTGCTTCCGTTCAGTTATGGGAAGTTGATCCCGTTTCCAACGAAATCCTCAGAGAGGTCCAAATATCCCCTTGCAGATTCTACAAAACGTGTGTTTGGAAACTGCTCCATCATAACGAATGTTCAGCTCCCTGAGTTAAACTCCATCGTCACAAAGAATTTTCTGAGAGTGCTACCGTCTGGTTTTTATATGAAGTTCTTTCCTTCACTACCACAGGCCTCAAAGCGGTCCAAATCTCCACTTGCAGATTCTACAAAAAGAGTGTTTGCAAACTGCTCTATCAAAAGGAATGTTCAACTCTGGGAGTTGAATGCAATCATCACAGAGCAGTTTCTGAGAATGCTTCTATGTCGTTTTTAGGAGAAGATATTTCCTTTTCCAACACAGTCCTCCAAGCCCGCTAAATAGCCACTTGCACATTGTAGAAAAAGTGTGTCGAAGCTGCGCTATCAAAGGGAAAGTTCAACTCTGTGAGGTGAATGCAAACATCCCAAAGAAGTTTCTGAGAATGCTTCCGTTTAGCTTTTAGGTGAAGATAATCCCGTTTCCAACGAAACCTTCTAAGAGGTCCAAATATCCCCTTGCGGATCCCACAGAAAGAGTGTTTCGAAACTGCTGTTTCAAAAGGAATCTTCAACTCTGTGAGTTGAATGCAATCATCACAAAGAAGTTTCTGACAATGCTTCTCTCTCGTCTTTCTGTGAAGATAAAGGAAAAGGCTTTCAGGCCTTTTCCACCACAGGCCTGAAAGCGCTCCAAATGTCCACTTGCAGATTCTGCGAAAAGAATATTTCAAAACTGCTCTATGAAAAGCAATGTTAAACTCTGTGGCTTGAACACAAACATCACAAAGCGGTTTCTGAGAATGCTTCAGTTTAGTTTTTCTGTGGAAATATTCCCGTTTCCAAAGAAATCTTCAAAGAGGTCCACGTATCCACTTACAGATTCTACAAAAAGACAGTTTCAAAACTGCTCCATCAAAAGGAGGGTTCAACTGTGTGACTTGAATGCAATCATCACTCAGAAGTTTCTGAGAATGCTTCTCTTTAGTTTTTACGTGAACATATACCCGTTTCGAACGAAGGCCACCCAGTGGTCCAAATATCCACTTGCAGATTATACAGAAAGAGTGTTTCGAACCTGAACTCTCAAAGGCAGGTTCATCTCTGCGAGTTAAATGCATTCATCATGAAGAACTTTCTCAGAGTGTTTGTGTTTAGTTATGGGAAATTATTCCCGTTTCCAACGAAATCCTCAGAGAGCTCCAAATATCCACCTGCAGATTCTACCAAAAGTGTATTTGGAAACTGCTCCATCAAAAGGCATGTTCAGCTCTGTCAGTGAAACTCCATCATCAGAAAGAATATTCTGAGAATGCTTCCGTTTGCCTTTTATATGAAGTTCCTTCCTATACGACCGTAGGCCTCAAAGCAGTCCAAATCTCCATTTGCAGATTCTACAAAAAGAGTGATTCCAATCTGCTCTATCAATAGGATTGTTCAACTCCATGAGTTGAATGCCATCCTGACAAAGTAGTTTCTGAGAATGCTTCTATCTAGTTTTTATGTGAAGATATTTCCTTTTCCACCACAGGACTCAAAGCCCTCCAAACGTCCACTTGCAGATTCTCGAAAAAGAGTGTTTCATAGCTGCTCTTTCACAAGGAAAGTTCAACTCTGGGAGGTGAATACAAACATCACAAAGTAGTTTCTGAGAATGCTTCTGTTTAGTTTTTATATGAAGATGATCCCGTTTCCAGTGAAATCTTCAAAGAGGTCCACATATCCCCTTGCAGATTCCAAAGAAAGAGGGTTTCAAAACTGCTCCATCAGAAGGATTGTTCAACTCTGTGAGTTGAATGCAGTCATCGCAGAAAACTTTCTGAGAATGCTTCTGTCTAGGTTTCAGGTGAAGATATAGACGTTTCAAACGAAGGCTACAAAGTGGTCAAAATATACACTTGCAGAATCTACTACAAGGGTGTTGCAAACCTGAACTATCAAAGGAAGGTTCAACTCTGTGAGTTGAATACAAACATCACAAAGAATGTTCTGAGTTTGCTTCCGTTCAGTTATGGGAAGTTGATCCCGTTTCCAACGAAATCCTCAGAGAGGTCCAAATATCCCCTCGCAGATTCTACAAAACGTGTGTTTGGAAACTGCTCCATCATAACGAATGTTCAGCTCCCTGAGTTAAACTCCATCGTCACAAAGAATTTTCTGAGAGTGCTACCGTCTGGTTTTTATATGAAGTTCTTTCCTTCACTACCACAGGCCTCAAAGCGGTCCAAATCTCCACTTGCAGATTCTACAAAAAGAGTGTTTGCAAACTGCTCTATCAAAAGGAATGTTCAACTCTGGGAGTTGAATGCAATCATCACAGAGCAGTTTCTGAGAATGCTTCTATGTCGTTTTTAGGAGAAGATATTTCCTTTTCCAACACAGTCCTCCAAGCCCGCTAAATAGCCACTTGCACATTGTAGAAAAAGTGTGTCAAAGCTGCGCTATCAAAGGGAAAGTTCAACTCTGTGAGGTGAATGCAAACATCCCAAAGAAGTTTCTGAGAATGCTTCCGTTTAGCTTTTAGGTGAAGATTATCCCGTTTCCAACGAAACCTTCAAAGAGGTCCAAATATCCCCTTGCGGATCCCACAGAAAGAGTGTTTCGAAACAGCTGTTTCAAAAGGAATCTTCAACTCTGTGAGTTGAATGCAATCATCACAAAGAAGTTTCTGACAATGCTTCTCTCTCGTCTTTCTGTGAAGATAAAGGAAAAGGCTTTCAGGCCTTTGCCACCACAGGCCTGAAAGCGCTCCAAATGTCCACTTGCAGATTCTGCGAAAAGAATATTTCAAAACTGCTCTATGAAAAGCAATGTTAAACTCTGTGGCTGGAACACAAACATCACAAAGCTGTTTCTGAGAATGTTTCAGTTTAGTTTTTCTGTGGAAATATTCCCGTTTCCAAAGAAATCTTCAAAGAGGTCCACGTATCCACTTACAGATTCTACAAAAAGACAGTTTCAAAACTGCTCCATCAAAAGGAGGGTTCAACTGTGTGACTTGAATGCAATCATCACTCAGAAGTTTCTGAGAATGCTTCTCTTTAGTTTTTACGTGAAGATATACCCGTTTCGAACGAAGGCCAGCCAGTGGTCCAAATATCCACTTGCAGATTCTACAGAAAGAGTGTTTCGAACATGAACTCTCAAAGGCAGGTTCATCTCTGCGAGTTAAATGCATTCATCATGAAGAACTTTCTCAGAGTGTTTGTGTTTAGTTATGGGAAATTATTCCCGTTTCCAACGAAATCCTCAGAGAGGTCCAAATATCCACCTGCAGATTCTACCAAAAGTGTATTTGGAAACTGCTCCATCAAAAGGCATGTTCAGCTCTGTGAGTGAAACTCCATCATCACAAAGAATATTCTGAGAATGCTTCCATTTGCCTTTTATATGAAGTTCCTTCCTATACTACCGTAGGCCTCAAAGCAGTCCAAATCTCCATTTGCAGATCCTACAAAAAGAGTGATTCCAATCTGCTCTATCAATAGGATTGTTCAACTCCATGAGTTGAATGCCATCCTCACAAAGTAGTCTCTGAGAATGCTTCTATCTAGTTTTTATGTGAAGATATTTCCTTTTCCACCACAGGCCTCAAAGCCCTCCAAACTGTCCACTTTCAGATTCTCGAAAAAGAGTGTTTCATAGCTGCTCTTTCAAAAGGAAAGTTCAACTCTGGCAGTTGAATACAAACATCACAAAGTAGTTTCCGAGAATGCTTCTGTTTAGTTCTTATGTGAAGATGATCCCGTTTCCAGTGAAATCTTCAAAGAGGTCCACATATCCCCTTGCAGATTCCAAAGAAAGAGGGTTTCAAAACTGCTCCATCAAAAGGATTGTTCACCTCTGTGAGTTGAATGCAGTCATCGCAGAAAACTTTCTGAGAATGGTTCTGTCTAGGTTTGATGTGAAGATATAGACGTTTCAAACGAATGCTACAAAGTGGTCAAAATATACACTTGCAGATTCTACTACAAGGGTGTTGCAAACCTGAACTATCAAAGGAAGGTTCAACTCTGTGAGTTGAATTCAAACATCATAAAGAATGTTCTGAGTTTGCTTCCGTTCAGTTATGGGAAGTTGATCCCGTTTCCAACGAAATCCTCAGAGAGGTCCAAATATCCCCTTGCAGATTCTACAAAACGTGTGTTTGGAAACTGCTCCATCATAACGAATGTTCAGCTCTCTGAGTTAAACTCCATCGTCACAAAGAATTTTCTGAGAGTGCTACCGTCTAGTTTTTATATGTAGTTCTTTCCGTTACTACCACAGGCCTCAAAGCGGTCCAAATCTCCACTTGCAGATTCTACAAAAAGAGTGTTTGCAAACTGCTCTATCAAAAGGAATGTTCAACTCTGGGAGTTGAATGCAATCATCACAGAGCAGTTTCTGAGAATCCTTCTATGTCGTTTTTAGGAGAAGATATTTCCTTTTCCAACACAGTCCTCCAAGCCCGCTAAATAGCCACTTGCACATTGTAGAAAAAGTGTGTCAAAGCTGCGCTATCAAAGGGAAAGTTCAACTCTGTGAGGTGAATGCAAACATCCCAAAGAAGTTTCTGAGAATGCTTCCGTTTAGCTTTTAGGTGAAGATTATCCCGTTTCCAACGAAACCTTCAAAGAGGTCCAAATATCCCCTTGCGGATCCCACAGAAAGAGTGTTTCGAAACTGCTGTTTCAAAAGGAATCTTCAACTCTGTGAGTTGAATGCAATCATCACAAAGAAGTTTCTGACAATGCTTCTCTCTCGTCTTTCTGTGAAGATAAAGGAAAAGGCTTTCAGGCCTTTTCCACCACAGGCCTGAAAGCGCTCCAAATGTCCACTTGCAGATTCTGCGAAAAGAATATTTCAAAACTGCTCTATGAAAAGCAATGTTAAACTCTGTGGCTCGAACACAAACATCACAAAGCGGTTTCTGAGAATGCTTCAGTTTAGTTTTTCTGTGGAAATATTCCCGTTTCCAAAGAAATCTTCAAAGAGGTCCACGTATCCACTTACAGATTCTACAAAAAGACAGTTTCAAAACTGCTCCATCAAAAGGAGGGTTCAACTGTGTGACTTGAATGCAATCATCACTCAGAAGTTTCTGAGAATGCTTCTCTTTAGTTTTTACGTGAACATATACCCGTTTCGAACGAAGGCCACCCAGTGGTCCAAATATCCACTTGCAGATTCTACAGAAAGAGTGTTTCGAAACTGAACTCTCAAAGGCAGGTTCATCTCTGCGAGTTAAATGCATTCATCATGAAGAACTTTCTCAGCGTGTTTGTGTTTAGTTATGGGAAATTATTCCCGTTTCCAACGAAATCCTCAAAGAGCTCCAAATATCCACCTGCAGATTCTACCAAAAGTGTATTTGGAAACTGCTCCATCAAAAGGCATGTTCAGCTCTGTCAGTGAAACTCCATCATCACAAAGAATATTCTGAGAATGCTTCCGTTTGCCTTTTATATGAAGTTCCTTCCTGTACTACCGTAGGCCTCAAAGCAGTCCAAATCTCCATTTGCAGATTCTATAAAAAGAGTGATTCCAATCTGCTCTATCAATAGGATTGTTCAACTCCATGAGTTGAATGCCATCCTCACAAAGTAGTTTCTGAGAATGCTTCTATCTAGTTTTTATGTGAAGATATTTCCTTTTCCACCACAGGCCTCAAAGCCCTCCAAACGTCCACTTGCAGATTCTCGAAAAAGAGTGTTTCATAGCTGCTCTTTCAAAAGGAAATTTCAACTCTGGGAGTTGAATACAAACATCACAAAGAATGTTCTGAGTTTGCTTCCGTTCAGTTATGGGAAGTTGATCCCGTTTCCAACGAAATCCTCAGAGAGGTCCAAATATCCCCTTGCAGATTCTACAAAATGTGTGTTTGGAAACTGCTCCATCATAACGAATGTTCAGCTCTCTGAGTTAAACTCCATCGTCACAAAGAATTTTCTGAGAGTGCTACCGTCTAGTTTTTAAAGGAAGTTCTTTCCTTTACTACCACAGGCCTCAAAGCAGTCCAAATCTCCACTTGCAGATTCTACAAAAAGAGTGTTTGCAAACTGCTCTATCAAAAGGAATGTTCAACTCTGGGAGTTGAATGCAATCATCACAGAGCAGTTTCTGAGAATGCTTCTATGTCGTTTTTAGGAGAAGATATTTCCTTTTCCAACACAGTCCTCCAAGCCCGCTAAATATCGACTTGCACATTGTAGAAAAAGTGTGTCGAAGCTGCGCTAACAAAGGGAAAGTTCAACTCTGTGAGGTGAATGCAAACATCCCAAAGAAGTTTCTGAGAATGCTTCCGTTTAGCTTTTAGGTGAAGATTATCCCGTTTCCAACGAAACCTTCAAAGAGGTCCAAATATCCCCTTGCGGATCCCACAGAAAGAGTGTTTCGAAACTGCTGTTTCAAAAGGAATCTTCAACTCTGTGAGTTGAATGCAATCATCACAAAGAAGTTTCTGACAATGCTTCTCTCTCGTCTTTCTGTGAAGATAAAGGAAAAGGCTTTCAGGCCTTTTCCACCACAGGCCTGAAAGCGCTCCAAATGTCCACTTGTAGATTCTGCCAAAAGAATATTTCAAAACTGCTCTATGAAAAGCAATGTTAAACTCTGTGGCTCGAACACAAACATCACAAAGCAGTTTCTGAGAATGCTTCAGTTTAGTTTTTCTGTGGAAATATTCCCGTTTCCAAAGAAATCTTCAAAGAGGTCCACGTATCCACTTACAGATTCTACAAAAAGACAGTTTCAAAACTGCTCCATCAAAAGGAGGGTTCAACCGTGTGACTTGAATGCAATCATCACTCAGAAGTTTCTGAGAATGCTTCTCTTTAGTTTTTACGTGAACATATACCCGTTTCGAACGAAGGCCAGCCAGTGGTCCAAATATCCACTTGCAGATTCTACAGAAAGAGTGTTTCGAACCTGAACTCTCAAAGGCAGGTTCATCTCTGCGAGTTCAATGCATTCATCATGAAGAACTTTCTCAGCGTGTTTGTGTTTAGTTATGGGAAATTATTCCCGTTTCCAACGAAATCCTCAGAGAGCTCCAAATATCCACCTGCAGATTCTACCAAAAGTGTATTTGGAAACTGCTCCATCAAAAGGCATGTTCAGCTCTGTGAGTGAAACTCCATCATCACAAAGAATATTCTGAGAATGCTTCCGTTTGCTTTTTATATGAAGTTCCTTCCTATACTACCGTAGGCCTCAAAGCAGTCCAAATCTCCATTTACAGATTCTACAAAAAGAGTGTTTCCAATCTGCTCTATCAATAGGATTGTTCAACTCCGTGAGTTGAATGCCATCCTCACAAAGTAGTTTCTGAGAATGCTTCTATCTAGTTTTTATGTGAAGATATTTCCTTTTCCACCACAGGCCTCAAAGCCCTCCAAAAGTCCACTTGCAGATTCTCGAAAAAGAGTGTTTCATAGCTGCTCTTTCAAAAGGAAATTTCAACTCTGGGAGTTGAATACAAACATCACAAAGAATGTTCTGAGTTTGCTTCCGTTCAGTTATGGGAAGTTGATCCCGTTTCCAACGAAATCCTCAGAGAGGTCCAAATATCCCCTTGCAGATTCTACAAAACGTGTGTTCGGAAACTGCTCCATCATAACGAATGTTCAGCTCCCTGAGTTAAACTCCATCGTCACAAAGAATTTTCTGAGAGTGCTACCGTCTGGTTTTTATATGAAGTTCTTTCCTTCACTACCACAGGCCTCAAAGCGGTCCAAATCTCCACTTGCAGATTCTACAAAAAGAGTGTTTGCAAACTGCTCTATCAAAAGGAATGTTCAACTCTGGGAGTTGAATGCAATCATCACAGAGCAGTTTCTGAGAATGCTTCTATGTCGTTTTTAGGAGAAGATATTTCCTTTTCCAACACAGTCCTCCAAGCCCGCTAAATAGCCACTTGCACATTGTAGAAAAAGTGTGTCAAAGCTGCGCTATCAAAGGGAAAGTTCAACTCTGTGAGGTGAATGCAAACATCCCAAAGAAGTTTCTGAGAATGCTTCCGTTTAGCTTTTAGGTGAAGATTATCCCGTTTCCAACGAAACCTTCAAAGAGGTCCAAATATCCCCTTGCGGATCCCACAGAAAGAGTGTTTCGAAACTGCTGTTTCAAAAGGAATCTTCAACTCTGTGAGTTGAATGCAATCATCACAAAGAAGTTTCTGACAATGCTTCTCTCTCGTCTTTCTGTGAAGATAAAGGAAAAGGCTTTCAGGCCTTTTCCACCACAGGCCTGAAAGCGCTCCAAATGTCCACTTGCAGATTCTGTGAAAAGAATATTGCAAAACTGCTCTATGAAAAGCAATGTTAAACTCTGTGGCTCGAACACAAACATCACAAAGCAGTTTCTGAGAATGCTTCAGTTTAGTTTTTCTGTGGAAATATTCCCGTTTCCAAAGAAATCTTCAAAGAGGTCCACGTATCCACTTACAGATTCTACAAAAAGACAGTTTCAAAACTGCTCCATCAAAAGGAGGGTTCAACTGTGTGACTTGAATGCAATCATCACTCAGAAGTTTCTGAGAATGCTTCTCTTTAGTTTTTACGTGAACATATACCCGTTTCGAACGAACGCCACCCAGTGGTCCAAATATCCACTTGCAGATTCTACAGAAAGAGTGTTTCGAACCTGAACTCTCAAAGGCAGGTTCATCTCTGCGAGTTAAATGCATTCATCATGAAGAACTTTCTCAGAGTGTTTGTGTTTAGTTATGGGAAATTATTCCCGTTTCCAACGAAATCCTCAGAGAGGTCCAAATATCCACCTGCAGATTCTACCAAAAGTGTATTTGGAAACTGCTCCATCAAAAGGCATGTTCAGCTCTGTGAGTGAAACTCCATCATCACAAAGAATATTCTGAGAATGCTTCCGTTTGCCTTTTATATGAAGTTCCTTCCTATACTACCGTAGGCCTCAAAGCAGTCCAAATCTCCATTTGCAGATTCTACAAAAAGAGTGATTCCAATCTGCTCTATCAATAGGATTGTTCAACTCCATGATTTGAATGCCATCCTCACAAAGTCGTTTGTGAGAATGCTTCTATCTAGTTTTTATGTGAAGATATTTCCTTTTCCACCACAGGCCTCAAAGCCCTCCAAACGTCCACTTGCAGATTCTCGAAAAAGAGTGTTTCATAGCTGCTCTTTCAAAAGGAAAGTTCAACTCTGGGAGTTGAATACAAACATCACAAAGTAGTTTCCGAGAATGCTTCTGTTTAGTTTTTATGTGAAGATGATCCCGTTTCCAGTGAAATCTTCAAAGAGGTCCACATATCCCCTTGCAGATTCCAAAGAAAGAGGGTTTCAAAACTGCTCCATCAGAAGGATTGTTCAACTCTGTGAGTTGAATGCAGTCATCACAGAAAACTTTCTGAGAATGCTTCTGTCTAGGTTTGATGTGAAGATATAGACGTTTCAAACGAAGGCTACAAAGTGGTCAAAATATACACTTGCAGATTCTACTACAAGGGTGTTGCAAACCTGAACTATCAAAGGAAGGTTCAACTCTGTGAGTTGAATACAAACATCACAAAGAATGTTCTGAGTTTGCTTCCGTTCAGTTATGGGAAGTTGATCCCGTTTCCAACGAAATCCTCAGAGAGGTCCAAATATCCCCTTGCAGATTCTACAAAACGTGTGTTTGGAAACTGCTCCATCATAACAAATGTTCAGCTCCCTGAGTTAAACTCCATCGTCACAAAGAATTTTCTGAGAGTGCTACCGTCTGGTTTTTATATGAAGTTCTTTCCTTCACTACCACAGGCCTCAAAGCGGTCCAAATCTCCACTTGCAGATTCTACAAAAAGAGTGTTTGCAAACTGCTCTATCAAAAGGAATGTTCAACTCTGGGAGTTGAATGCAATCATCACAGAGCAGTTTCTGAGAATGCTTCTATGTCGTTTTTAGGAGAAGATATTTCCTTTTCCAACACAGTCCTCCAAGCCCGCTAAATATCCACTTGCACATTGTAGAAAAAGTGTGTCGAAGCTGCGCTATCAAAGGGAAAGTTCAACTCTGTGAGGTGAATGCAAACATCCCAAAGAAGTTTCTGAGAATGCTTCCGTTTAGCTTTTAGGTGAAGATTATCCCGTTTCCAACGAAACCTTCAAAGAGGTCCAAATATCCCCTTGCGGATCCCACAGAAAGAGTGTTTCGAAACTGCTGTTTCAAAAGGAATCTTCAACTCTGTGAGTTGAATGCAATCATCACAAAGAAGTTTCTGACAATGCTTCTCTCTCGTCTTTCTGTGAAGATAAAGGAAAAGGCTTTCAGGCCTTTGCCACCACAGGCCTGAAAGCGCTCCAAATGTCCACTTGCAGATTCTGCGAAAAGAATATTTCAAAACTGCTCTATGAAAAGCAATGTTAAACTCTGTGGCTCGAACACAAACATCACAAAGCGGTTTCTGAGAATGCTTCAGTTTAGTTTTTCTGTGGAAATATTCCCGTTTCCAAAGAAATCTTCAAAGAGGTCCACGTATCCACTTACAGATTCTACAAAAAGACAGTTTCAAAACTTCTCCATCAAAAGGAGGGTTCAACCGTGTGACTTGAATGCAATCATCACTCAGAAGTTTCTGAGAATGCTTCTCTTTAGTTTTTACGTGAACATATACCCGTTTCGAACGAAGGCCACCCAGTGGTCCAAATATCCACTTGCAGATTATACAGAAAGAGTGTTTCGAACCTGAACTCTCAAAGGCAGGTTCATCTCTGCGAGTTAAATGCATTCATCATGAAGAACTTTCTCAGAGTGTTTGTGTTTAGTTATGGGAAATTATTCCCGTTTCCAACGAAATCCTCAGAGAGCTCCAAATATCCACCTGCAGATTCTACCAAAAGTGTATTTGGAAACTGCTCCATCAAAAGGCATGTTCAGCTCTGTGAGTGAAACTCCATCATCACAAAGAATATTCTGAGAATGCTTCCGTTTGCCTTTTATCTGAAGTTCCTTCCTATACGACCGTAGGCCTCAAAGCAGTCCAAATCTCCATTTGCAGATTCTACAAAAAGAGTGATTCCAATCTGCTCTATCAATAGGATTGTTCAACTCCATGAGTTGAATGCCATCCTCACAAAGTCGTTTCTGAGAATGCTTCTATCTAGTTTTTATGTGAAGATATTTCCTTTTCCACCACAGGCCTCAAAGCCCTCCAAACGTCCACTTGCAGATTCTCGAAAAGGAGTGTTTCATAGCTGCTCTTTCAAAAGGAAAGTTCAACTCTGGGAGTTGAATACAAACATCACAAAGTAGTTTCCGAGAATGCTTCTGTTTAATTTTTATGTGAAGATGATCCCGTTTCCAGTGAAATCTTCAAAGAGGTCCACATATCCCCTTGCAGATTCCAAAGAAAGAGGGTTTCAAAACTGCTCCATCAGAAGGATTGTTCAACTCTGTGAGTTGAATGCAGTCATCGCAGAAAACTTTCTGAGAATGCTTCTGTCTAGGTTTGATGTGAAGATATAGACGTTTCAAACGAAGGCTACAAAGTGGTCAAAATATACACTTGCAGATTCTACTACAAGGGTGTTGCAAACCTGAACTATCAAAGGAAGGTTCAACTCTGTGAGTTGAATACAAACATCACAAAGAATGTTCTGAGTTTGCTTCCGTTCAGTTATGGGAAGTTGATCCCGTTTCCAACGAAATCCTCAGAGAGGTCTAAATATCCCCTTGCAGATTCTACAAAACGTGTGTTTGGAAACTGCTCCATCATAACGAATGTTCAGCTCCCTGAGTTAAACTCCATCGTCACAAAGAATTTTCTGAGAGTGCTACCGTCTGGTTTTTATATGAAGCTCTTTCCTTCACTACCACAGGCCTCAAAGCGGTCCAAATCTCCACTTGCAGATTCTACAAAAAGAGTGTTTGCAAACTGCTCTATCAAAAGGAATGTTCAACTCTGGGAGTTGAATGCAATCATCACAGAGCAGTTTCTGAGAATGCTTCTATGTCGTTTTTAGGAGAAGATATTTCCTTTTCCAACACAGTCCTCCAAGCCCGCTAAATAGCCACTTGCACATTGTAGAAAAAGTGTGTCAAAGCTGCGCTATCAAAGGGAAAGTTCAACTCTGTGAGGTGAATGCAAACATCCCAAAGAAGTTTCTGAGAATGCTTCCGTTTAGCTTTTAGGTGAAGATTATCCCGTTTCCAACGAAACCTTCAAAGAGGTCCAAATATCCCCTTGCGGATCCCACAGAAAGAGTGTTTCGAAACTGCTGTTTCAAAAGGAATCTTCAACTCTGTGAGTTGAATGCAATCATCACAAAGAAGTTTCTGACAATGCTTCTCTCTCGTCTTTCTGTGAAGATAAAGGAAAAGGCTTTCAGGCCTTTTCCACCACAGGCCTGAAAGCGCTCCAAATGTCCACTTGCAGATTCTGCCAAAAGAATATTTCAAAACTGCTCTATGAAAAGCAATGTTAAACTCTGCGGCTCAAACACAAACATCACAAAGCGGTTTCTGAGAATGCTTCAGTTTAGTTTTTCTGTGGAAATATTCCCGTTTCCAAAGAAATCTTCAAAGAGGTCCACGTATCCACTTACAGATTCTACAAAAAGACAGTTTCAAAACTGCTCCATCAAAAGGAGGGTTCAACTGTGTGACTTGAATGCAATCATCACTCAGAAGTTTCTGAGAATGCTTCTCTTTAGTTTTTACGTGAACATATACCCGTTTCGAACGAAGGCCACCCAGTGGTCCAAATATCCACTTGCAGATTATACAGAAAGTGTGGTTCGAACCTGAACTCTCAAAGGCAGGTTCATCTCTGCGAGTTAAATGCATTCATCATGAAGAACTTTCTCAGAGTGTTTGTGTTTAGTTATGGGAAATTATTCCCGTTTCCAATGAAATCCTCAGAGAGCTCCAAATATCCACCTGCAGATTCTACCAAAAGTGTATTTGGAAACTGCTCCATCAAAAGGCATGTTCAGCTCTGTGAGTGAAACTCCATCATCACAAAGAACATTCTGAGAATGCTTCCGTTTGCCTTTTATCTGAAGTTCCTTCCTATACGACCGTAGGCCTCAAAGCAGTCCAAATCTCCATTTGCAGATTCTACAAAAAGAGTGATTCCAATCTGCTCTATCAATAGGATTGTTCAACTCCATGAGTTGAATGCCATCCTCACAAAGTCGTTTCTGAGAATGCTTCTATCTAGTTTTTATGTGAAGATATTTCCTTTTCCACCACAGGCCTCAAAGCCCTCCAAACGTCCACTTGCAGATTCTCGAAAAAGAGTGTTTCATAGCTGCTCTTTCAAAAGGAAAGTTCAACTCTGGTAGTTGAATACAAACATCACAAAGTAGTTTCCGAGAATGCTTCTGTTTAGTTCTTATGTGAAGATGATCCCGTTTCCAGTGAAATATTCAAAGAGGTCCACATATCCCCTTGCAGATTCCAAAGAAAGAGGGTTTCAAAACTGCTCCATCAAAAGGATTGTTCAACTCTGTGAGTTGAATGCAGTCATCGCAGAAAACTTTCTGAGAATGCTTCTGTCTAGGTTTGATGTGAAGATATAGACGTTTCAAACGAAGGCTACAAAGTGGTCAAAATATACACTTGCAGATTCTCCTACAAGGGTGCTGCAAACCTCAACTATCAAAGGAAGGTTCAACTCTGTGAGATGAATGCAAACATCACAAAGAATGTTCTGAGTTTGCTTCCGTTCAGTTATGGGAAGTTGATCCCGTTTCCAACGAAATCCTCAGAGAGGTCCAAATATCCCCTTGCAGATTCTACAAAACGTGTGTTTGGAAACTGCTCCATCATAACGAATGTTCAGCTCCCTGAGTTAAACTCCATCGTCACAAAGAATTTTCTGAGAGTGCTACCGTCTAGTTTTTATATGAAGTTCTTTCCTTTACTACCACAGGCCTCAAAGCGGTCCAAATCTCCACTTGCAGATTCTACAAAAAGAGTGTTTGCAAACTGCTCTATCAAAAGGAATGTTCAACTCCTGGGAGTTGAATGCAATCATCACAGAGCAGTTTGCTGAGAATGCTTCTATGTCGTTTTTAGGAGAAGATATTTCCTTTTCCAACACAGTCCTCCAAGCCCGCTAAATATCCACTTGCACATTGTAGAAAAAGTGTGTCGAAGCTGCGCTATCAAAGGGAAAGTTCAACTCTGTGAGGTGAATGCAAACATCCCAAAGAAGTTTCTGAGAATGCTTCCGTTTAGCTTTTAGGTGAAGATTATCCCGTTTCCAACGAAATCTTCACAGAGGTCCAAATATCCCCTTGCGGATCCCACAGAAAGAGTGTTTCGAAACTGCTGTTTCAAAAGGAATCTTCAACTCTGTGAGTTGAATGCAATCATCACAAAGAAGTTTCTGACAATGCTTCTCTCTCGTCTTTCTGTGAAGATAAAGGAAAAGGCTTTCAGGCCTTTTCCACCACAGGCCTGAAAGCGCTCCAAATGTCCACTTGCAGATTCTGCCAAAAGAATATTTCAAAACTGCTCTATGAAAAGCAATGTTAAACTCTGTGGCTCGAACACAAACATCACAAAGCAGTTTCTGAGAATGCTTCAGTTTAGTTTTTCTGTGGAAATATTCCCGTTTCCAAAGAAATCTTCAAAGAGGTCCACGCATCCACTTACAGATTCTACAAAAAGACAGTTTCAAAACTGCTCAATCAAAAGGAGGGTTCAACTGTGTGACTTGAATGCATTCATCACTCAGAAGTTTCTGAGAATGCTTCTCTTTAGTTTTTACGTGAACATATACCCGTTTCGAACGAAGGCCAGCCAGTGGTCCAAATATCCACTTGCAGATTCTACAGAAAGAGTGTTTTGAACCTGAACTCTCAAAGGCAGGTTCATCTCTGCGAGTTAAATGCATTCATCATGAAGAACTTTCTCAGCGTGTTTGTGTTTAGTTATGGGAAATTATTCCCGTTTCCAAAGAAATCCTCAGAGAGCTCCAAATATCCACCTGCAGATTGTACCAAAAGTGTATTTGGAAACTGCTCCATGAAAAGGCATGTTCAGCTCTGTGAGTGAAACTCCGTCATCACAAAGAATATTCTGAGACTGCTTCCGTTTGCCTTTTATATGAAGTTCCTTCCTGTACTACTGTAGGCCTCAAAGCAGTCCAAATCTCCATTTGCAGATTCTACAAAAAGAGTGATTCCAATCTGCTCTATCAATAGGATTGTTCAACTCCATGAGTTGAATGCCATCCTCACAAAGTAGTTTCTGAGAATGCTTCTATCTAGTTTTTATGTGAAGATATTTCCTTTTCCACCACAGGCCTCAAAGCCCTCCAAACGTCCACTTGCAGATTCTCGAAAAAGAGTGTTTCATAGCTGCTCTTTCAAAAGGAAATTTCAACTCTGGGAGTTGAATACAAACATCACAAAGAATGTTCTGAGTTTGCTTCCGTTCAGTTATGGGAAGTTGATCCCGTTTCCAATGAAATCCTCAGAGAGGTCCAAATATCCCCTTGCAGATTCTACAAAACGTGTGTTCGGAAACTGCTCCATCATAACGAATGTTCAGCTCCCTGAGTTAAACTCCATCGTCACAAAGAATTTTCTGAGAGTGCTACCGTCTGGTTTTTATATGAAGTTCTTTCCTTCACTACCACAGGCCTCAAAGCGGTCCAAATCTCCACTTGCAGATTCTACAAAAAGAGTGTTTGCAAACTGCTCTATCAAAAGGAATGTTCAACTCTGGGAGTTGAATGCAATCATCACAGAGCAGTTTCTGAGAATGCTTCTATGTCGTTTTTAGGAGAAGATATTTCCTTTTCCAACACAGTCCTCCAAGCCCGCTAAATAGCCACTTGCACATTGTAGAAAAAGTGTGTCAAAGCTGCGCTATCAAAGGGAAAGTTCAACTCTGTGAGGTGAATGCAAACATCCCAAAGAAGTTTCTGAGAATGCTTCCGTTTAGCTTTTAGGTGAAGATTATCCCGTTTCCAACGAAATCTTCAAAGAGGTCCAAATATCCCCTTGCGGATCCCACAGAAAGAGTGTTTCGAAACTGCTGTTTCAAAAGGAATCTTCAACTCTGTGAGTTGAATGCAATCATCACAAAGAAGTTTCTGACAATGCTTCTCTCTCGTCTTTCTGTGAAGATAAAGGAAAAGGCTTTCAGGCCTTTTCCACCACAGGCCTGAAAGCGCTCCAAATGTCCACTTGCAGATTCTGCCAAAAGAATATTTCAAAACTGCTCTATGAAAAGCAATGTTAAACTCTGTGGCTCGAACACAAACATCACAAAGCGGTTTCTGAGAATGCTTCAGTTTAGTTTTTCTGTGGAAATATTCCCGTTTCCAAAGAAATCTTCAAAGAGGTCCACGCATCCACTTACAGATTCTACAAAAAGACAGTTTCAAAACTGCTCAATCAAAAGGAGGGTTCAACTGTGTGACTTGAATGCAATCATCACTCAGAAGTTTCTGAGAACGCTTCTCTTTAGTTTTTACGTGAACATATACCCGTTTCGAACGAAGGCCACCCAGTGGTCCAAATATCCACTTGCAGATTCTACAGAAAGAGTGTTTCGAACCTGAACTCTCAAAGGCAGGTTCATCTCTGCGAGTTCAATGCATTCAACATGAAGAACTTTCTCAGCGTGTTTGTGTTTAGTTATGGGAAATTATTCCCGTTTCCAACGAAATCCTCAGAGAGGTCCAAATATCCACCTGCAGATTCTACCAAAAGTGTATTTGGAAACTGCTCCATCAAAAGGCATGTTCAGCTCTGTGAGTGAAACTCCATCATCACAAAGAATATTCTGAGAATGCTTCCGTTTGCCTTTTATATGAAGTTCCTTCCTATACTACCGTAGGCCTCAAAGCAGTCCAAATCTCCATTTGCAGATTCTACAAAAAGAGTGATTCCAATCTGCTCTATCAATAGGATTGTTCAACTCCATGATTTGAATGCCATCCTCACAAAGTCGTTTGTGAGAATGCTTCTATCTAGTTTTTATGTGAAGATATTTCCTTTTCCACCACAGGCCTCAAAGCCCTCCAAACGTCCACTTGCAGATTCTCGAAAAAGAGTGTTTCATAGCTGCTCTTTCAAAAGGAAATTTCAACTCTGGGAGTTGAATACAAACCTCACAAAGTAGTTTCCGAGAATGCTTCTGTTTAGTTCTTATGTGAAGATGATCCCGTTTCCAGTGAAATCTTCAAAGAGGTCCACATATCCCCTTGCAGATTCCAAAGAAAGAGGGTTTCAAAACTGCTCCATCAAAAGGATTGTTCAACTCTGTGAGTTGAATGCAGTCATCGCAGAAAACTTTCTGAGAATGCTTCTGTCTAGGTTTGATGTGAAGATATAGACGTTTCAAATGAAGGCTACAAAGTGGTCAAAATATACACTTGCAGATTCTACTACAAGGGTGTTGCAAACCTGAACTATCAAAGGAAGGTTCAACTCTGTGAGTTGAATACAAACATCACAAAGAATGTTCTGAGTTTGCTTCCGTTTAGTTATGGGAAATTGATACCGTTTCCAACGAAATCCTCAGAGAGGTCCAAATATCCCCTTGCAGATTCTACAAAACGTGTGTTTGGAAACTGCTCCATCATAACGAATGTTCAGCTCTCTGAGTTAAACTCCATCGTCACAAAGAATTTTCTGAGAGTGCTACCGTCTGGTTTTTATATGAAGTTCTTTCCTTCACTACCACAGGCCTCAAAGCGGTCCAAATCTCCACTTGCAGATTCTACAAAAAGAGTGTTTGCAAACTGCTCTATCAAAAGGAATGTTCAACTCTGGGAGTTGAATGCAATCATCACAGAGCAGTTTCTGAGAATGCTTCTATGTCGTTTTTAGGAGAAGATATTTCCTTTTCCAACACAGTCCTCCAAGCCCGCTAAATAGCCACTTGCACATTGTAGAAAAAGTGTGTCAAAGCTGCGCTATCAAAGGGAAAGTTCAACTCTGTGAGGTGAATGCAAACATCCCAAAGAAGTTTCTGAGAATGCTTCCGTTTAGCTTTTAGGTGAAGATTATCCCGTTTCCAACGAAACCTTCAAAGAGGTCCAAATATCCCCTTGCGGATCCCACAGAAAGAGTGTTTCGAAACTGCTGTTTCAAAAGGAATCTTCAACTCTGTGAGTTGAATGCAATCATCACAAAGAAGTTTCTGACAATGCTTCTCTCTCGTCTTTCTGTGAAGATAAAGGAAAAGGCTTTCAGGCCTTTTCCACCACAGGCCTGAAAGCGCTCCAAATGTCCACTTGCAGATTCTGCCAAAAGAATATTTCAAAACTGCTCTATGAAAAGCAATGTTAAACTCTGCGGCTCGAACACAAACATCACAAAGCAGTTTCTGAGAATGCTTCAGTTTACTTTTTCTGTGGAAATATTCCCGTTTCCAAAGAAATCTTCAAAGAGGTCCACGTATCCACTTACAGATTCTACAAAAAGACAGTTTCAAAACTGCTCCATCAAAAGGAGGGTTCAACTGTGTGACTTGAATGCAATCATCACTCAGAAGTTTCTGAGAATGCTTCTCTTTAGTTTTTACGTGAACATATACCCGTTTCGAACGAAGGCCACCCAGTGGTCCAAATATCCACTTGCAGATTATACAGAAAGAGTGTTTCGAACCTGAACTCTCAAAGGCAGGTTCATCTCTGCGAGTTAAATGCATTCATCATGAAGAACTTTCTCAGAGTGTTTGTGTTTAGTTATGGGAAATTATTCCCGTTTCCAACGAAATCCTCAGAGAGCTCCAAATATCCACCTGCAGATTCTACCAAAAGTGTATTTGGAAACTGCTCCATCAAAAGGCATGTTCAGCTCTGTCAGTGAAGCTCCATCATCACAAAGAATATTCTGAGAATGCTCCGTTTGCCTTTTATATGAAGTTCCTTCCTGTACTACCGTAGGCCTCAAAGCAGTCCAAATCTCCATTTGCAGATTCTACAAAAAGAGTGATTCCAATCTGCTCTATCAATAGGATTGTTCAACTCCATGAGTTGAATGCCATCCTCACAAAGTAGTTTCTGAGAATGCTTTCTATCTGGTTTTTGTGTGAAGATATTTCCTTTTCCACCACAGGCCTCAAAGCCCTCCAAACGTCCACTTGC
The DNA here is from genome assembly GCF_000001405.40 of Homo sapiens. NCBI lineage: Eukaryota > Metazoa > Chordata > Mammalia > Primates > Hominidae > Homo > Homo sapiens. Next base: position 61,983,271 of record NC_000023.11, on the reverse strand, counting down.
AGATTCTCGAAAAAGAGTGTTTCATAGCTGCTCTTTCAAAAGGAAAGTTCAACTCTGGGAGTTGAATACAAACATCACAAAATAGTTTCCGAGAATGCTTCTGTTTAGTTTTTATGTGAAGATGACCCCGTTTCCAGTGAAATCATCAAAGAGGTCCACATATCCCCTTGCAGATTCCAAAGAAAGAGGGTTTCAAAACTGCTCCATCAGAAGGATTGTTCAACTCTGTGAGTTGAATGCAGTCATCGCAGAAAACTTTCTGAGAATGCTTCTTTCTAGGTTTGATGTGAAGATATAGACGTTTCAAACGAAGGCTACAAAGTGGTCAAAATATACACTTGCAGATTCTACTACAAGGGTGTTGCAAACCTGAACTATCAAAGGAAGGTTCAACTCTGTGAGTTGAATACAAACATCACAAAGAATGTTCTGAGTTTGCTTCCGTTCAGTTATGGGAAGTTGATCCCGTTTCCAACGAAATCCTCAGAGAGGTCCAAATATCCCCTCACAGATTCTACAAAACGTGTGTTTGGAAACTGCTCCATCATAACGAATGTTCAGCTCCCTGAGTTAAACTCCATCGTCACAAAGAATTTTCTGAGAGTGCTACCGTCTGGTTTTTATATGAAGTTCTTTCCTTCACTACCACAGGCCTCAAAGCGGTCCAAATCTCCACTTGCAGATTCTACAAAAAGAGTGTTTGCAAACTGCTCTATCAAAAGGAATGTTCAACTCTGGGAGTTGAATGCAATCATCACAGAGCAGTTTCTGAGAATGCTTCTATGTCGTTTTTAGGAGAAGATATTTCCTTTTCCAACACAGTCCCCCAAGCCCGCTAAATAGCCACTTGCACATTGTGGAAAAAGTGTGTCAAAGCTGCGCTATCAAAGGGAAAGTTCAACTCTGTCAGGTGAATGCAAACATCCCAAAGAAGTTTCTGAGAATGCTTCCGTTTAGCTTTTAGGTGAAGATTATCCCGTTTCCAACGAAACCTTCAAAGAGGTCCAAATATCCCCTTGCGGATCCCACAGAAAGAGTGTTTCGAAACTGCTGTTTCAAAAGGAATCTTCAACTCTGTGAGTTGAATGCAATCATCACAAAGAAGTTTCTGACAATGCTTCTCTCTCGTCTTTCTGTGAAGATAAAGGAAAAGGCTTTCAGGCCTTTTCCACCACAGGCCTGAAAGCGCTCCAAATGTCCACTTGCAGATTCTGCGAAAAGAATATTTCAAAACTGCTCTATGAAAAGCAATGTTAAACTCTGTGGCTCGAACACAAACATCACAAAGCAGTTTCTGAGAATGCTTCAGTTTAGTTTTTCTGTGGAAATATTCCCGTTTCCAAAGAAATCTTCAAAGAGGTCCACGTATCCACTTACAGATTCTACAAAAAGACAGTTTCAAAACTGCTCCATCAAAAGGAGGGTTCAACTGTGTGACTTGAATGCAATCATCACTCAGAAGTTTCTGAGAGTGCTTCTCTTTAGTTTTTACGTGAACATATACCCGTTTCGAACGAAGGCCACCCAGTGGTCCAAATATCCACTTGCAGATTCTACAGAAAGAGTGTTTCGAACCTGAACTCTCAAAGGCAGGTTCATCTCTGCGAGTTAAATGCATTCATCATGAAGAACTTTCTCAGAGTATTTGTGTTTAGTTATGGGAAATTATTCCCGTTTCCAAAGAAATCCTCAGAGAGCTCCAAATATCCACCTGCAGATTCTACCAAAAGTGTATTTGGAAACTGCTCCATCAAAAGGCATGTTCAGCTCTGTCAGTGAAACTCCATCATCACAAAGAATATTCTGAGAATGCTTCCGTTTGTCTTTTATATGAAGTTCCTTCCTGTACTACCGTAGGCCTCAAAGCAGTCCAAATCTCCATTTGCAGATTCTACAAAAAGAGTGATTCCAATCTGCTCTATCAATAGGATTGTTCAACTCCATGAGTTGAATGCCATCCTCACAAAGTAGTTTCTGAGAATGCTTCTATCTGGTTTTTGTGTGAAGATATTTCCTTTTCCACCACAGGCCTCAAAGCCCTCCAAACGTCCACTTGCAGATTCTCGAAAAAGAGTGTTTCATAGCTGCTCTTTCAAAAGGAAAGTTCAACTCTGGGAGTTGAATACAAACATCACAAAATAGTTTCCGAGAATGCTTCTGTTTAGTTTTTATGTGAAGATGATCCCGTTTCCAGTGAAATCTTCAAAGAGGTCCACATATCCCCTTGCAGATTCCAAAGAAAGAGGGTTTCAAAACTGCTCCATCAGAAGGATTGTTCAACTCTGTGAGTTGAATGCAGTCATCGCAGAAAACTTTCTGAGAATGCTTCTTTCTAGGTTTGATGTGAAGATATAGACGTTTCAAACGAAGGCTACAAAGTGGTCAAAATATACACTTGCAGATTCTACTACAAGGGTGTTGCAAACCTGAACTATCAAAGGAAGGTTCAACTCTGTGAGTTGAATACAAACATCACAAAGAATGTTCTGAGTTTGCTTCCGTTCAGTTATGGGAAGTTGATCCCGTTTCCAGCGAAATCCTCAGAGAGGTCCAAATATCCCCTTGCAGATTCTACAAAACGTGTGTTTGGAAACTGCTCCATCATAACGAATGTTCAGCTCCCTGAGTTAAACTCCATCGTCACAAAGAATTTTCTGAGAGTGCTACCGTCTGGTTTTTATATGAAGTTCTTTCCTTTACTACCATAGGCCTCAAAGCGGTCCAAATCTCCACTTGCAGATTCTACAAAAAGAGTGTTTGCAAACTGCTCTATCAAAAGGAATGTTCAACCCTGGGAGTTGAATGCAATCATCACAGAGCAGTTTCTGAGAATGCTTCTATGTCGTTTTTAGAAGATATTTCCTTTTCCAACACAGTCCTCCAAGCCCGCTAAATAGCCACTTGCACATTGTAGAAAAAGTGTGTCAAAGCTGCGCTATCAAAGGGAAAGTTCAACTCTGTGAGGTGAATGCAAACATCCCAAAGAAGTTTCTGAGAATGCTTCCGTTTAGCTTTTAGGTGAAGATTATCCCGTTTCCAACGAAACCTTCAAAGAGGTGCAAATATCCCCTTGCGGATCCCACAGAAAGAGTGTTTCGAAACTGCTGTTTCAAAAGGAATCTTCAACTCTGTGAGTTGAATGCAATCATCACAAAGAAGTTTCTGACAATGCTTCTCTCTCGTCTTTCTGTGAAGATAAAGGAAAAGGCTTTCAGGCCTTTTCCACCACAGGCCTGAAAGCGCTCCAAATGTCCACTTGCAGATTCTGCGAAAAGAATATTTCAAAACTGCTCTATGAAAAGCAATGTTAAACTCTGTGGCTGGAACACAAACATCACAAAGCGGTTTCTGAGAATGTTTCAGTTTAGTTTTTCTGTGGAAATATTCCCGTTTCCAAAGAAATCTTCAAAGAGGTCCACGTATCCACTAACAGATTCTACAAAAAGACAGTTTCAAAACTGCTCCATCAAAAGGAGGGTTCAACTGTGTGACTTGAATGCAATCATCACTCACAAGTTTCTGAGAATGCTTCTCTTTAGTTTTTACGTGAACATATACCCGTTTCGAACGAAGGCCAGCCAGTGGTCCAAATATCCACTTGCAGATTCTACAGAAAGAGTGTTTCGAACCTGAACTCTCAAAGGCAGGTTCATCTCTGCGAGTTAAATGCATTCATCATGAAGAACTTTCTCAGAGTGTTTGTGTTTAGTTATGGGAAATTATTCCCGTTTCCAACGAAATCCTCAGAGAGCTCCAAATATCCACCTGCAGATTCTACCAAAAGTGTATTTGGAAACTGCTCCATCAAAAGGCATGTTCAGCTCTGTGAGTGAAACTCCATCATCACAAAGAATATTCTGAGAATGCTTCCGTTTGCCTTTTATATGAAGTTCCTTCCTATACGACCGTAGGCCTCAAAGCAGTCCAAATCTCCATTTGCAGATTCTACAAAAAGAGTGATTCCAATCTGCTCTATCAATAGGATTGTTCAACTCCATGAGTTGAATGCCATCCTCACCAAGTCGTTTCTGAGAATGCTTCTATCTAGTTTTTATGTGAAGATATTTCCTTTTCCACCACAGGCCTCAAAGCCCTCCAAACGTCCACATGCAGATTCTCGAAAAAGAGTGTTTCATAGCTGCTCTTTCAAAAGGAAAGTTCAACTCTGGGAGGTGAATACAAACATCACAAAGTAGTTTCCGAGAATGCTTCTGTTTAGTTCTTATGTGAAGATGATCCCGTTTCCAGTGAAATCTTCAAAGAGGTCCACATATCCCCTTGCAGATTCCAAAGAAAGAGGGTTTCAAAACTGCTCCATCAAAAGGATTGTTCAACTCTGTGAGTTGAATGCAGTCATCGCAGAAAACTTTCTGAGAATGCTTCTGTCTAGGTTTGATGTGAAGATATAGACGTTCAAACGAAGGCTACAAAGTGGTCAAAATATACACTTGCAGATTCTACTACAAGGGTGTTGCAAACCTGAACTATCAAAGGAAGGTTCAACTCTGTGAGTTGAATACAAACATCACAAAGAATGTTCTGAGTTTGCTTCCGTTCAGTTATGGGAAGTTGATCCCGTTTCCAACGAAATCCTCAGAGAGGTCCAAATATCCCCTTGCAGATTCTACAAAACGTGTGTTTGGAAACTGCTCCATCATAACGAATGTTCAGCTCCCTGAGTTAAACTCCATCGTCACAAAGAATTTTCTGAGAGTGCTACCGTCTGGTTTTTATATGAAGTTCTTTCCTTCACTACCACAGGCCTCAAAGCGGTCCAAATCTCCACTTGCAGATTCTACAAAAAGAGTGTTTGCAAACTGCTCTATCAAAAGGAATGTTCAACTCTGGGAGTTGAATGCAATCATCACAGAGCAGTTTCTGAGAATGCTTCTATGTCGTTTTTAGGAGAAGATATTTCCTTTTCCAACACAGTCCTCCAAGCCCGCTAAATAGCCACTTGCACATTGTAGAAAAAGTGTGTCAAAGCTGCGCTATCAAAGGGAAAGTTCAACTCTGTGAGGTGAATGCAAACATCCCAAAGAAGTTTCTGAGAATGCTTCCGTTTAGCTTTTAGGTGAAGATTATCCCGTTTCCAACGAAATCTTCAAAGAGGTCCAAATATCCCCTTGCGGATCCCACAGAAAGAGTGTTTCGAAACTGCTGTTTCAAAAGGAATCTTCAACTCTGTGAGTTGAATGCAATCATCACAAAGAAGTTTCTGACAATGCTTCTCTCTCGTCTTTCTGTGAAGATAAAGGAAAAGGCTTTCAGGCCTTTTCCACCACAGGCCTGAAAGCGCTCCAAATGTCCACTTGCAGATTCTGCCAAAAGAATATTTCAAAACTGCTCTATGAAAAGCAATGTTAAACTCTGTGGCTCGAACACAAACATCACAAAGCAGTTTCTGAGAATGCTTCAGTTTAGTTTTTCTGTGGAAATATTCCCGTTTCCAAAGAAATCTTCAAAGAGTTCCACGCATCCACTTACAGATTCTACAAAATACAGTTTCAAAACTGCTCAATCAAAAGGAGGGTTCAACTGTGTGACTTGAATGCAATCATCACTCAGAAGTTTCTGAGAACGCTTCTCTTTAGTTTTTACGTGAACATATACCCGTTTCGAACGAAGGCCAGCCAGTGGTCCAAATATCCACTTGCAGATTCTACAGAAAGAGTGTTTCGAACCTGAACTCTCAAAGGCAGGTTCATCTCTGCGAGTTCAATGCATTCATCATGAAGAACTTTCTCAGCGTGTTTGTGTTTAGTTATGGGAAATTATTCCCGTTTCCAACGAAATCCTCAGAGAGCTCCAAATATCCACCTGCAGATTCTACCAAAAGTGTATTTGGAAACTGCTCCATCAAAAGGCATGTTCAGCTCTGTGAGTGAAACTCCATCATCACAAAGAATATTCTGAGAATGCTTCCGTTTGCCTTTTATATGAAGTTCCTTCCTATACTACCGTAGGCCTCAAAGCAGTCCAAATCTCCATTTGCAGATTCTACAAAAAGAGTGATTCCAATCTGCTCTATCAATAGGATTGTTCAACTCCATGAGTTGAATGCCATCCTCACAAAGTCGTTTCTGAGAATGCTTCTATCTAGTTTTTATGTGAAGATATTTCCTTTTCCACCACAGGCCTCAAAGCCCTCCAAACGTCCACTTGCAGATTCTCGAAAAAGAGTGTTTCATAGCTGCTCTTTCAAAAGGAAAGTTCAACTCTGGGAGTTGAATACAAACATCACAAAGTAGTTTCCGAGAATGCTTCTGTTTAGTTTTTATGTGAAGATGATCCCGTTTCCAGTGAAATCTTCAAAGAGGTCCACATATCCCCTTGCAGATTCCAAAGAAAGAGGGTTTCAAAACTGCTCCATCAGAAGGATTGTTCATCTCTGTGAGTTGAATGCAGTCATCGCAGAAAACTTTCTGAGAATGCTTCTGTCTAGGTTTGATGTGAAGATATAGACGTTTCAAACGAAGGCTACAAAGTGGTCAAAATATACACTTGCAGATTCTACTACAAGGGTGTTGCAAACCTGAACTATCAAAGGAAGGTTCAACTCTGTGAATTGAATACAAACATCACAAAGAATGTTCTGAGTTTGCTTCCGTTCAGTTATGGGAAGTTGATCCCGTTTCCAACGAAATCCTCAGAGAGGTCCAAATATCCCCTCGCAGATTCTACAAAACGTGTGTTTGGAAACTGCTCCATCATAACGAATGTTCAGCTCCCTGAGTTAAACTCCATCGTCACAAAGAATTTTCTGAGAGTGCTACCGTCTGGTTTTTATATGAAGTTCTTTCCTTCACTACCACAGGCCTCAAAGCGGTCCAAATCTCCACTTGCAGATTCTACAAAAAGAGTGTTTGCAAACTGCTCTATCAAAAGGAATGTTCAACTCTGGGAGTTGAATGCAATCATCACAGAGCAGTTTCTGAGAATGCTTCTATGTCGTTTTTAGGAGAAGATATTTCCTTTTCCAACACAGTCCTCCAAGCCCGCTAAATAGCCACTTGCACATTGTAGAAAAAGTGTGTCAAAGCTGCGCTATCAAAGGGAAAGTTCAACTCTGTGAGGTGAATGCAAACATCCCAAAGAAGTTTCTGAGAATGCTTCCGTTTAGCTTTTAGGTGAAGATTATCCCGTTTCCAACGAAACCTTCAAAGAGGTCCAAATATCCCCTTGCGGATCCCACAGAAAGAGTGTTTCGAAACTGCTGTTTCAAAAGGAATCTTCAACTCTGTGAGTTGAATGCAATCATCACAAAGAAGTTTCTGACAATGCTTCTCTCTCGTCTTTCTGTGAAGATAAAGGAAAAGGCTTTCAGGCCTTTTCCACCACAGGCCTGAAAGCGCTCCAAATGTCCACTTGCAGATTCTGCCAAAAGAATATTTCAAAACTGCTCTATGAAAAGCAATGTTAAACTCTGTGGCTCGAACACAAACATCACAAAGCGGTTTCTGAGAATGCTTCAGTTTAGTTTTTCTGTGGAAATATTCCCGTTTCCAAAGAAATCTTCAAAGAGGTCCACGTATCCACTTACAGATTCTACAAAAAGACAGTTTCAAAACTGCTCCATCAAAAGGAGGGTTCAACTGTGTGACTTGAATGCAATCATCACTCAGAAGTTTCTGAGAATGCTTCTCTTTAGTTTTTACATGAACATATACCCGTTTCGAACGAAGGCCACCCAGTGGTCCAAATATCCACTTGCAGATTCTACAGAAAGAGTGTTTCGAACCTGAACTCTCAAAGGCAGGTTCATCTCTGCGAGTTAAATGCATTCATCATGAAGAACTTTCTCAGAGTGTTTGTGTTTAGTTATGGGAAATTATTCCCGTTTCCAACGAAATCCTCAGAGAGCTCCAAATATCCACCTGCAGATTCTACCAAAAGTGTATTTGGAAACTGCTCCATCAAAAGGCATGTTCAGCTCTGTGAGTGAAACTCCATCATCACAAAGAATATTCTGAGAATGCTTCCGTTTGCCTTTTATATGAAGTTCCTTCCTATACTACCGTAGGCCTCAAAGCAGTCCAAATCTCCATTTGCAGATTCTACAAAAAGAGTGATTCCAATCTGCTCTATCAATAGGATTGTTCAACTCCATGAGTTGAATGCCATCCTCACAAAGTCGTTTCTGAGAATGCTTCTATCTAGTTTTATGTGAAGATATTTCCTTTTCCACCACAGGCCTCAAAGCCCTCCAAACGTCCACTTGCAGATTCTCGAAAAAGAGTGTTTCATAGCTGCTCTTTCAAAAGGAAAGTTCAACTCTGGGAGTTGAATACAAACATCACAAAGTAGTTTCCGAGAATGCTTCTGTTTAGTTTTTATGTGAAGATGATCCCGTTTCCAGTGAAATCTTCAAAGAGGTCCACATATCCTCTTGCAGATTCCAAAGAAAGAGGGTTTCAAAACTGCTCCATCAGAAGGATTGTTCAACTCTGTGAGTTGAATGCAGTCATCGCAGAAAACTTTCTGAGAATGCTTCTGTCTAGGTTTGATGTGAAGATATAGACGTTTCAAACGAAGGCTACAAAGTGGTCAAAATATACACTTGCAGATTCTACTACAAGGGTGTTGCAAACCTGAACTATCAAAGGAAGGTTCAACTCTGTGAGTTGAATACAAACATCACAAAGAATGTTCTGAGTTTGCTTCCGTTCAGTTATGGGAAGTTGATCCCGTTTCCAACGAAATCCTCAGAGAGGTCCAAATATCCCCTTGCAGATTCTACAAAACGTGTGTTTGGAAACTGCTCCATCATAACGAATGTTCAGCTCCCTGAGTTAAACTCCATCGTCACAAAGAATTTTCTGAGAGTGCTACCGTCTGGTTTTTATATGAAGTTCTTTCCTTCACTACCACAGGCCTCAAAGCGGTCCAAATCTCCACTTGCAGATTCTACAAAAAGAGTGTTTGCAAACTGCTCTATCAAAAGGAATGTTCAACTCTGGGAGTTGAATGCAATCATCACAGAGCAGTTTCTGAGAATGCTTCTATGTCGTTTTTAGGAGAAGATATTTCCTTTTCCAACACAGTCCTCCAAGCCCGCTAAATAGCCACTTGCACATTGTAGAAAAAGTGTGTCAAAGCTGCGCTATCAAAGGGAAAGTTCAACTCTGTGAGGTGAATGCAAACATCCCAAAGAAGTTTCTGAGAATGCTTCTCTCTCGTCTTTCTGTGAAGATAAAGGAAAAGGCTTTCAGGCCTTTTCCACCACAGGCCTGAAAGCGCTCCAAATGTCCACTTGCAGATTCTGCGAAAAGAATATTTCAAAACTGCTCTATGAAAAGCAATGTTAAACTCTGTGGCTGGAACACAAACATCACAAAGCGGTTTCTGAGAATGTTTCAGTTTAGTTTTTCTGTGGAAATATTCCCGTTTCCAAAGAAATCTTCAAAGGGGGTCCACGTATCCACTTACAGATTCTACAAAAAGACAGTTTCAAAACTGCTCCATCAAAAGGAGGGTTCAACTGTGTGACTTGAATGCAATCATCACTCAGAAGTTTCTGAGAATGCTTCTCTTTAGTTTTTACGTGAACATATACCCGTTTCGAACGAAGGCCACCCAGTGGTCCAAATATCCACTCGCAGATTCTACAGAAAGAGTGTTTCGAACCTGAACTCTCAAAGGCAGGTTCATCTCTGCGAGTTAAATGCATTCATCATGAAGAACTTTCTCAGAGTGTTTGTGTTTAGTTATGGGAAATTATTCCCGTTTCCAACGAAATCCTCAGAGAGCTCCAAATATCCACCTGCAGATTCTACCAAAAGTGTATTTGGAAACTGCTCCATCAAAAGGCATGTTCAGCTCTTGTGAGTGAAACTCCATCATCACAAAGAATATTCTGAGAATGCTTCCGTTTGCCTTTTATCTGAAGTTCCTTCCTATACTACCTTAGGCCTCAAAGCAGTCCAAATCTCCATTTGCAGATTCTACAAAAAGAGTGATTCCAATCTGCTCTATCAATAGGATTGTTCAACTCCATGAGTTGAATGCCATCCTCACAAAGTCGTTTCTGAGAATGCTTCTATCTAGTTTTTATGTGAAGATATTTCCTTTTCCACCACAGGCCTCAAAGCCCTCCAAACGTCCACTTGCAGATTCTCGAAAAAGAGTGTTTCATAGCTGCTCTTTCAAAAGGAAAGTTCAACTCTGGGAGTTGAATACAAACATCACAAAGTAGTTTCCGAGAATGCTTCCTGTTTAGTTTTTATGTGAAGATGATCCCGTTTCCAGTGAAATCTTCAAAGAGGTCCACATATCCCCTTGCAGATTCCAAAGAAAGAGGGTTTCAAAACTGCTCCATCAGAAGGATTGTTCAACTCTGTGAGTTGAATGCAGTCATCGCAGAAAACTTTCTGAGAATGCTTCTGTCTAGGTTTGATGTGAAGATATAGATGTTTCAAACGAAGGCTACAAAGTGGTCAAAATATACACTTGCAGATTCTACTACAAGGGTGTTGCAAACCTGAACTATCAAAGGAAGGTTCAACTCTGTGAGTTGAATACAAACATCACAAAGAATGTTCTGAGTTTGCTTCCGTTCAGTTATGGGAAGTTGATCCCGTTTCCAACGAAATCCTCAGAGAGGTCCAAATATCCCCTTGCAGATTCTACAAAACGTGGGTTTGGAAACTGCTCCATCATAACGAATGTTCAGCTCCCTGAGTTAAACTCCATCGTCACAAAGAATTTTCTGAGAGTGCTACCGTCTGGTTTTTATATGAAGTTCTTTCCTTCACTACCACAGGCCTCAAAGCGGTCCAAATCTCCACTTGCAGATTCTACAAAAAGAGTGTTTGCAAACTGCTCTATCAAAAGGAATGTTCAACTCTGGGAGTTGAATGCAATCATCACAGAGCAGTTTCTGAGAATGCTTCTATGTCGTTTTTAGGAGAAGATATTTCGTTTTCCAACACAGTCCTCCAAGCCCGCTAAATAGCCACTTGCACATTGTAGAAAAAGTGTGTCAAAGCTGCGCTATCAAAGGGAAAGTTCAACTCTGTGAGGTGAATGCAAACATCCCAAAGAAGTTTCTGAGAATGTTTCCGTTTAGCTTTTAGGTGAAGATTATCCCGTTTCCAACGAAACCTTCAAAGAGGTCCAAATATCCCCTTGCGGATCCCACAGAAAGAGTGTTTCGAAACTGCTGTTTCAAAAGGAATCTTCAACTCTGTGAGTTGAATGCAATCATCACAAAGAAGTTTCTGACAATGCTTCTCTCTCGTCTTTCTGTGAAGATAAAGGAAAAGGCTTTCAGGCCTTTGCCACCACAGGCCTGAAAGCGCTCCAAATGTCCACTTGCAGATTCTGCCAAAAGAATATTTCAAAACTGCTCTATGAAAAGCAATGTTAAACTCTGTGGCTCGAACACAAACATCACAAAGCGGTTTCTGAGAATGCTTCAGTTTAGTTTTTCTGTGGAAATATTCCCGTTTCCAAAGAAATCTTCAAAGAGGTCCACGTATCCACTTACAGATTCTACAAAAGGACAGTTTCAAAACTGCTCCATCAAAAGGAGTGTTCAACCGTGTGACTTGAATGCAATCATCACTCAGAAGTATCTGAGAATGCTTCTCTTTAGTTTTTACGTGAACATATACCCGTTTCGAACGAAGGCCACCCAGTGGTCCAAATATCCACTTGCAGATTATACAGAAAGAGTGTTTCGAACCTGAACTCTCAAAGGCAGGTTCATCTCTGCGAGTTAAATGCATTCATCATGAAGAACTTTCTCAGAGTGTTTTGTGTTTAGTTATGGGAAATTATTCCCGTTTCCAACGAAATCCTCAGAGAGCTCCAAATATCCACCTGCAGATTCTACCAAAAGTGTATTTGGAAACTGCTCCATCAAAAGGCATGTTCAGCTCTGTGAGTGAAACTCCATCATCACAAAGAATATTCTGAGAATGCTTCCGTTTGCCTTTTATATGAAGTTCCTTCCTGTACTACCGTAGGCCTCAAAGCAGTCCAAATCTCCATTTGCAGATTCTACAAAAAGAGTGATTCCAATCTGCTCTATCAATAGGATTGTTCAACTCCATGAGTTGAATGCCATCCTCACAAAGTAGTTTCTGAGAATGCTTCTATCTGGTTTTTGTGTGAAGATATTTCCTTTTCCACCACAGGCCTCAAAGCCCTCCAAACGTCCACTTGCAGATTCTCGAAAAAGAGTGTTTCATAGCTGCTCTTTCAAAAGGAAAGTTCAACTCTGGGAGTTGAATACAAACATCACAAAATAGTTTCCGAGAATGCTTCTGTTTAGTTTTTATGTGAAGATGATCCCGTTTCCAGTGAAATCTTCAAAGAGGTCCACATATCCCCTTGCAGATTCCAAAGAAAGAGGGTTTCAAAACTGCTCCATCAGAAGGATTGTTCAACTCTGTGAGTTGAATGCAGTCATCGCAGAAAACTTTCTGAGAATGCTTCTGTCTAGGTTTGATGTGAAGATATAGACGTTTCAAACGAAGGCTACAAAGTGGTCAAAATATACACTTGCAGATTCTACTACAAGGGTGTTGCAAACCTGAACTATCAAAGGAAGGTTCAACTCTGTGAGTTGAATACAAACATCACAAAGAATGTTCTGAGTTTGCTTCCGTTCAGTTATGGGAAGTTGATCCCGTTTCCAACGAAATCCTCAGAGAGGTCCAAATATCCCCTTGCAGATTCTACAAAACGTGTGTTTGGAAACTGCTCCATCATAACGAATGTTCAGCTCCCTGAGTTAAACTCCATCGTCACAAAGAATTTTCTGAGAGTGCTACCGTCTGGTTTTTATATGAAGTTCTTTCCTTCACTACCACAGGCCTCAAAGCGGTCCAAATCTCCACTTGCAGATTCTACAAAAAGAGTGTTTGCAAACTGCTCTATCAAAAGGAATGTTCAACTCTGGGAGTTGAATGCAATCATCACAGAGCAGTTTCTGAGAATGCTTCTATGTCGTTTTTAGGAGAAGATATTTCCTTTTCCAACACAGTGCTCCAAGCCCGCTAAATATCCACTTGCACATTGTAGAAAAAGTGTGTCGAAGCTGCGCTATCAAAGGGAAAGTTCAACTCTGTGAGGTGAATGCAAACATCCCAAAGAAGTTTACTGAGAATGCTTCCGCTTAGCTTTTAGGTGACGATTATCCATTTTCCAACGAAACCTTCAAATAGATCCAAATATCCCCTTGCGGATCCCACAGAAAGAGTGTTTCGAAACTGCTGTTTCAAAAGGAATCTTCAACTCTGTGAGTTGAATGCAATCATCACAAAGAAGTTTCTGACAATGCTTCTCTCTCGTCTTTCTGTGAAGATAAAGGAAAAGGCTTTCAGGCCTTTTCCACCACAGGCCTGAAAGCGCTCCAAATGTCCACTTGCAGATTCTGCCAAAAGAATATTTCAAAACTGCTCTATGAAAAGCAATGTTAAACTCTGCGGCTCGAACACAAACATCACAAAGCAGTTTCTGAGAATGCTTCAGTATAGTTTTTCTGTGGAAATATTCCCGTTTCCAAAGAAATCTTCAAAGAGGTCCACGCATCCACTTACAGATTCCACAAAAAGACAGTTTCAAAACTGCTCAATCAAAAGGAGGGTTCAACTGTGTGACTTGAATGCAATCATCACTCAGAAGTTTCTGAGAATGCTTCTCTTTAGTTTTTACGTGAACATATACCCGTTTCGAACGAAGGCCACCCAGTGGTCCAAATATCCACTTGCAGATTCTACAGAAAGAGTGTTTCGAACCTGAACTCTCAAAGGCAGGTTCATCTCTGCGAGTTAAATGCATTCATCATGAAGAACTTTCTCAGAGTGTTTGTGTTTAGTTATGGGAAATTATTCCCGTTTCCAACGAAATCCTCAGAGAGCTCCAAATATCCACCTGCAGATTCTACCAAAAGTGTATTTGGAAACTGCTCCCATCTCAAAAGGCATGTTCAGCTCTGTGAGTGAAACTCCATCATCACAAAGAATATTCTGAGAATGCTTCCGTTTGCCTTTTATATGAAGTTCCTTCCTATACGACCGGAGGCCTCAAAGCAGTCCAAATCTCCATTTGCAGATTCTACAAAAAGAGTGATTCCAATCTGCTCTATCAATAGGATTGTTCAACTCCATGAGTTGAATGCCATCCTCACAAAGTCGTTTCTGAGAATGCTTCTATCTAGTTTTTATGTGAAGATATTTCCTTTTCCACCACAGGCCTCAAAGCCCTCCAAACGTCCACTTGCAGATTCTCGAAAAAGAGTGTTTCATAGCTGCTCTTTCAAAAGGAAAGTTCAACTCTGGGAGTTGAATACAAACATCACAAAGTAGTTTCCGAGAATGCTTCTGTTTAGTTTTTATGTGAAGATGATCCCGTTTCCAGTGAAATCTTCAAAGAGGTCCACATATTCCCTTGCAGATTCCAAAGAAAGAGGGTTTCAAAACTGCTCCATCAGAAGGATTGTTCAACTCTGTGAGTTGAATGCAGTCATCGCAGAAAACTTTCTGAGAATGCTTCTGTCTAGGTTTGATGTGAAGATATAGACGTTTCAAACGAAGGCTACAAAGTGGTCAAAATATACACTTGCAGATTCTACTACAAGGGTGTTGCAAACCTGAACTATCAAAGGAAGGTTCAACTCTGTGAGTTGAATTCAAACATCACAAAGAATGTTCTGAGTTTGCTTCCGTTCAGTTATGGGAAGTTGATCCCGTTTTCAACGAAATCCTCAGAGAGGTCCAAATATCCCCTCGCAGATTCTACAAAACGTGTGTTTGGAAACTGCTCCATCATAACGAATGTTCAGCTCCTTGAGTTAAACTACATCGTCACAAAGAATTTTCTGAGAGTGCTACCGTCTGGTTTTTATATGAAGTTCTTTCCTTCACTACCACAGGCCTCAAAGCGGTCTAAATCTCCACTTGCAGATTCTACAAAAAGAGTGTTTGCAAACTGCTCTATCAAAAGGAATGTTCAACTCTGGGAGTTGAATGCAATCATCACAGAGCAGTTTCTGAGAATGCTTCTATGTCGTTTTTAGGAGAAGATATTTCCTTTTCCAACACAGTCCTCCAAGCCCGCTAAATAGCCACTTGCACATTGTAGAAAAAGTGTGTCAAAGCTGCGCTATCAAAGGGAAAGTTCAACTCTGTGAGGTGAATGCAAACATCCCAAAGAAGTTTCTGAGAATGCTTCCGTTTAGCTTTTAGGTGAAGATTATCCCGTTTCCAACGAAATCTTCAAAGAGGTCCAAATATCCCCTTGCGGATCCCACAGAAAGAGTGTTTCGAAACTGCTGTTTCAAAAGGAATCTTCAACTCTGTGAGTTGAATGCAATCATCACAAAGAAGTTTCTGACAATGCTTCTCTCTCGTCTTTCTGTGAAGATAAAGGAAAAGGCTTTCAGGCCTTTTCCACCACAGGCCTGAAAGCGCTCCAAATGTCCACTTGCAGATTCTGCCAAAAGAATATTTCAAAACTGCTCTGTGAAAAGCAATGTTAAACTCTGCGGCTCGAACACAAACATCACAAAGCCGTTTCTGAGAATGCTTCAGTTTAGTTTTTCTGTGGAAATATTCCTGTTTCCAAAGAAATCTTCAAAGAGGTCCACGTATCCACTTACAGATCCTACAAAAAGACAGATTCAAAACTGCTCAATCAAAAGGAGGGTTCAACCGTGTGACTTTAATGCAATCATCACTCAGAAGTTTCTGAGAATGCTTCTCTTTAGTTTTTACGTGAACATATACCCGTTTCGAACGAAGGCCACCCAGTGGTCCAAATATCCACTTGCAGATTCTACAGAAAGAGTGTTTCGAACCTGAACTCTCAAAGGCAGGTTCATCTCTGCGAGTTAAATGCATTCATCATGAAGAACTTTCTCAGAGTGTTTGTGTTTAGGTATGGGAAATTATTCCCGTTTCCATCGATATCCTCAGTGAGGTCCAAATATCCACCTGCAGATTCTACCAAAAGTGTATTTGGCAACTGCTCCATCAAAAGGCATGTTCAGCTCTGTGAGTGAAACTCCATCATCACAAAGAATATTCTGAGAATGCTTCCGTTTGCCTTTTATATGAAGTTCCTTCCTATACTACCGTAGGCCTCAAAGCAGTCCAAATCTCCATTTGCAGATTCTACAAAAAGAGTGATTCCAATCTGCTCTATCAATAGGATTGTTCAACTCCATGAGTTGAATGCCATCCTCACAAACTCGTTTGTGAGAATGCTTCTATCTAGTTTTTATGTGAAGATATTTCCTTTTCCACCACAGGCCTCAAAGCCCTCCAAACGTCCACTTGCAGATTCTCGAAAAAGAGTGTTTCATAGCTGCTCTTTCAAAAGGAAAGTTCAACTCTGGGAGTTGAATACAAACATCACAAAGTAGTTTCCGAGAATGCTTCTGTTTAGTTCTTATGTGAAGATGATCCCGTTTCCAGTGAAATCTTCAAAGAGGTCCACATATCCCCTTGCAGATTCCAAAGAAAGAGGGTTTCAAAACTGCTCCATCAAAAGGATTGTTCAACTCTGTGAGTTGAATGCAGTCATCGCAGAAAACTTTCTGAGAATGCTTCTGTCTAGGTTTGATGTGAAGATATAGACGTTTCAAACGAAGGCTACAAAGTGGTCAACATATACACTTGCAGATTCTACTACAAGGGTGATGCAAACCTGAACTATCAAAGGAAGGTTCAACTCTGTGAGTTGAATACAAACATCACAAAGAATGTTCTGAGTTTGCTTCCGTTCAGTTATGGGAAGTTGATCCCGTTTCCAACGAAATCCTCAGGAGAGGTCCAAATATCCCCTTGCAGATTCTACAAAACGTGTGTTTGGAAACTGCTCCATCATAACGAATGTTCAGCTCCCTGAGTTAAACTCCATCGTCACAAAGAATTTTCTGAGAGTGCTACCGTCTGGTTTTTATATGAAGTTCTTTCCTTCACTACCACAGGCCTCAAAGCGGTCCAAATCTCCACTTGCAGATTCTACAAAAAGAGTGTTTGCAAACTGCTCTATCAAAAGGAATGTTCAACTCTGGGAGTTGAATGCAATCATCACAGAGCAGTTTCTGAGAATGCTTCTATGTCGTTTTTAGGAGAAGATATTTCCTTTTCCAACACATTCCTCCAAGTCCGCTAAATAGCCACTTGCACATTGTAGAAAAAGTGTGTCAAAGCTGCGCTATCAAAGGGAAAGTTCAACTCTGAGAGGTGAATGCAAACATCCCAAAGAAGTTTCTGAGAGTGCTTCCGTTTAGCTTTTAGGTGAAGATTATCCCGTTTCCAACGAAACCTTCAAAGAAGTCCAAATATCCCCTTGCGGATCCCACAGAAAGAGTGTTTCGAAACTGCTGTTTCAAAAGGAATCTTCAACTCTGTGAGTTGAATGCAATCATCACAAAGAAGTTTCTGACAATGCTTCTCTCTCGTCTTTCTGTGAAGATAAATAAATGCTTTCAGGCCTTTGCCACCACAGGCCTGAAAGCGCTCCAAATGTCCACTTGCAGATTCTGCGAAAAGAATATTTCAAAACTGCTTTGTGAAAAGCAATGTTAAACTCTGTGGCTCGAACACAAACATCACAAAGCAGTTTCTGAGAATGCTTCAGTTTAGTTTTTCTGTGGAAATATTCCCGTTTCCAAAGAAATCTTCAAAGAGGTCCACGTATCCACTTACAGATTCTACAAAAAGACAGTTTCAAAACTGCTCCATCAAAAGGAGGGTTCAACTGTGTGACTTGAATGCAATCATCACTCAGAAGTTTCTGAGAATGCTTCTCTTTAGTTTTTACGTGAACATATACCCGTTTCGAACGAAGGCCACCCAGTGGTCCAAATATCCACTTGCAGATTCTACAGAAAGGGTGTTTCGAACCTGAACTCTCAAAGGCAGGTTCATCTCTGCGAGTTAAATGCATTCATCATGAAGAACTTTCTCAGAGTGTTTGTGTTTAGTTATGGGAAATTATTCCCGTTTCCAACGAAATCCTCAGAGAGGTCCAAATATCCACCTGCAGATTCTACCAAAAGTGTATTTGGAAACTGCTCCATCAAAAGGCATGTTCAGCTCTGTGAGTGAAACTGCATCATCACAAAGAATATTCAGAGAATGCTTCCGTTTGCCTTTTATATGAAGTTCCTTCCTGTACTACCGTAGGCCTCAAAGCAGTCCAAATGTCCATTTGCAGATTCTACAAAAAGAGTGATTCCAATCTGCTCTATCAATAGGATTGTTCAACTCCATGAGTTGAATGCCATCCTCACAAAGTCGTTTCTGAGAATGCTTCTATCTAGTTTTTATGTGAAGATATTTCCTTTTCCACCACAGGCCTCAAAGCCCTCCAAACGTCCACTTGCAGATTCTCGAAAAAGAGTGTTTCATAGCTGCTCTTTCAAAAGGAAAGTTCAACTCTGGGAGTTGAATACAAACATCACAAAGTAGTTTCCGAGAATGCTTCTGTTTAGTTCTTATGTGAAGATGATCCCGTTTCCAGTGAAATCTTGAAAGAGGTCCACATATCCCCTTGCAGATTCCAAAGAAAGAGGGTTTCAAAACTGCTCCATCAAAAGGATTACTCAACTCTATGAGTTGTATGCAGTCATCGCAGAAAACTTTCTGAGAATGCTTCTGTCTAGGTTTGATGTGAAGATATAGACGTTTCAAACGAAGGCTACAAAGTGGTCAAAATATACACTTGCAGATTCTACTACAAGGGTGTTGCAAACCTGAACTATCAAAGGAAGGTTCAACTCTGTGAGTTGAATACAAACATCACAAAGAATGTTCTGAGTTTGCTTCCGTTCAGTTATGGGAAGTTGATCCCGTTTCCAACGAAATCCTCAGAGAGGTCCAAATATCCCCTTGCAGATTCTGCAAAACGTGTGTTTGGGAACTGCTCCATCATAACGAATGTTCAGCTCTCTGAGTTAAACTCCATCGTCACAAAGTTTTTTCTGAGAGTGCTACCGTCTAGTTTTTATATGAAGTTCTTTCCTTTACTACCACAGGCCTCAAAGCGGTCCAAATCTCCACTTGCAGATTCTACAAAAAGAGTGTTTGCAAACTGCTCTATCAAAAGGAATGTTCAACTCTGGGAGTTGAATGCAATCATCACAGAGCAGTTTCTGAGAATGCTTCTATGTGGTTTTTAGGAGAAGATATTTCCTTTTCCACCACAGTCCTCCAAGCCCGCTAAATATCCACTTGCACATTGTAGAAAAAGTGTGTCGAAGCTGCGCTATCAAAGGGAAAGTTCAACTCTGTGAGGTGAATGCAAACATCCCAAAGAAGTTTCTGAGAATGCTTCCGTTTAGCTTTTAGGTGAAGATTATCCCGTTTCCAACGAAACCTTCAAAGAGGTCCAAATATCCCCTTGCGGATCCCACAGAAAGAGTGTTTCGAAACTGCTGTTTCAAAAGGAATCTTCAACTCTGTGAGTTGAATGCAATCATCACAAAGAAGTTTCTGACAATGCTTCTCTCTCGTCTTTCTGTGAAGATAAAGGAAAAGGCTTTCAGGCCTTTTCCACCACAGGCCTGAAAGCGCTCCAAATGTCCACTTGCAGATTCTGTGAAAAGAATATTGCAAAACTGCTCTATGAAAAGCAATGTTAAACTCTGTGGCTCGAACACAAACATCACAAAGCAGTTTCTGAGAATGCTTCAGTTTAGTTTTTCTGTGGAAATATTCCCGTTTCCAAAGGAAATCTTCAAAGAGGTCCACGTATCCACTTACAGATTCTACAAAAAGACAGTTTCAAAACTGCTCCATCAAAAGGAGGGTTCAACTGTGTGACTTGAATGCAATCATCACTCAGAAGTTTCTGAGAATGCTTCTCTTTAGTTTTTACGTGAACATATACCCGTTTCGAACGAAGGCCACCCAGTGGTCCAAATATCCACTTGCAGATTCTACAGAAAGAGTGTTTCGAACCTGAACTCTCAAAGGCAGGTTCATCTCTGCGAGTTAAATGCATTCATCATGAAGAACTTTCTCAGAGTGTTTGTGTTTAGTTATGGGAAATTATTCCCTTTTCCAACGAAATCCTCAGAGAGCTCCAAATATCCACCTGCAGATTCTACCAAAAGTGTATTTGGAAACTGCTCCATCAAAAGGCATGTTCAGCTCTGTGAGTGAAACTCCATCATCACAAAGAATATTCTGAGAATGCTTCCGTTTGCCTTTTATATGAAGTTCCTTCCTGTACTACCGTAGGCCTCAAAGCAGTCCAAATCTCCATTTGCAGATTCTATAAAAAGAGTGATTCCAATCTGCTCTATCAATAGGATTGTTCAACTCCATGAGTTGAATGCCATCCTCACAAAGTAGTTTCTGAGAATGCTTCTATCTGGTTTTTGTGTGAAGATATTTCCTTTTCCACCACAGGCCTCAAAGCCCTCCAAACGTCCACTTGCAGTTTCTCGAAAAAGAGTGTTTCATAGCTACTCTTTCAAAAGGAAAGTTCAACTCTGGGAGTTGAATACAAACATCACAAAATAGTTTCCGAGAATGCTTCTGTTTAGTTTTTATGTGAAGATGATCCCGTTTCCAGTGAAATCTTCAAAGAGGTCCACATATCCCCTTGCAGATTCCAAAGAAAGAGGGTTTCAAAACTGCTCCATCAGAAGGATTGTTCAACTCTGTGAGTTGAATGCAGTCATCGCAGAAAACTTTCTGAGAATGCTTCTGTCTAGGTTTGATGTGAAGATATAGACGTTTCAAACGAAGGCTACAAAGTGGTCAAAATATACACTTGCAGATTCTACTACAAGAGTGTTGCAAACCTGAACTATCAAAGGAAGGTTCAACTCTGTGAGTTGAATACAAACATCACAGAGAATGTTCTGAGTTTGCTTCCGTTCAGTTATGGGAAGTTGATCCCGTTTCCAACGAAATCCTCAGAGAGGTCCAAATATCCCCTCACAGATTCTACAAAACGTGTGTTTGGAAACTGCTCCATCATAACGAATGTTCAGCTCCCTGAGTTAAACTCCATCGTCACAAAGAATTTTCTGAGAGTGCTACCGTCTGGTTTTTATATGAAGTTCTGTCCTTCACTACCACAGGCCTCAAAGCGGTCCAAATCTCCACTTGCAGATTCTACAAAAAGAGTGTTTGCAAACTGCTCTATCAAAAGGAATGTTCAACTCTGGGAGTTGAATGCAATCATCACAGAGCAGTTTCTGAGAATGCTTCTATGTCGTTTTTAGGAGAAGATATTTCCTTTTCCAACACAGTCCTCCAAGCCCGCTAAATAGCCACTTGCACATTGTAGAAAAAGTGTGTCAAAGCTGTGCTATCAAAGGGAAAGTTCAACTCTGTGAGGTGAATGCAAACATCCCAAAGAAGTTTCTGAGAATGCTTCCGTTTAGCTTTTAGGTGAAGATTATCCCGTTTCCAACGAAATCTTCAAAGAGGTCCAAATATCCCCTTGCGGATCCCACAGAAAGAGTGTTTCGAAACTGCTGTTTCAAAAGGAATCTTCAACTCTGTGAGTTGAATGCAATCATCACAAAGAAGTTTCTGACAATGCTTCTCTCTCGTCTTTCTGTGAAGATAAAGGAAAAGGCTTTCAGGCCCTTTTCCACCACAGGCCTGAAAGCGCTCCAAATGTCCACTTGCAGATTCTGCCAAAAGAATATTTCAAAACTGCTCTATGAAAAGCAATGTTAAACTCTGTGGCTCGAACACAAACATCACAAAGCGGTTTCTGAGAATGCTTCAGTTTAGTTTTTCTGTGGAAATATTCCCGTTTCCAAAGAAATCTTCAAAGAGGTCCACGTATCCACTTACAGATTCTACAAAAAGACAGTTTCAAAACTGCTCCATCAAAAGGAGGGTTCAACTGTGTGACTTGAATGCAATCATCACTCAGAAGTTTCTGAGAATGCTTCTCTTTAGTTTTTACGTGAACATATACCCGTTTCGAACGAAGGCCACCCAGTGGTCCAAATATCCACTTGCAGATTCTACAGAAAGAGTGTTTCGAACCTGAACTCTCAAAGGCAGGTTCATCTCTGCGAGTTAAATGCATTCATCATGAAGAACTTTCTCAGAGTGTTTGTGTTTAGTTATGGGAAATTATTCCCGTTTCCAACGAAATCCTCAGAGAGCTCCAAATATCCACCTGCTGATTCTACCAAAAGTGTATTTGGAAACTGCTCCATCAAAAGGCATGTTCAGCTCTGTGAGTGAAACTCCATCATCACAAAGAATATTCTGAGAATGCTTCCGTTTGCCTTTTATATGAAGTTCCTTCCTGTACTACCGTAGGCCTCAAAGCAGTCCAAATCTCCATTTGCAGATTCTATAAAAAGAGTGATTCCAATCTGCTCTATCAATAGGATTGTTCAACTCCATGAGTTGAATGCCATCCTCACAAAGTAGTTTCTGAGAATGCTTCTATCTGGTTTTTGTGTGAAGATATTTCCTTTTCCACCACAGGCCTCAAAGCCCTCCAAACGTCCACTTGCAGATTCTCGAAAAAGAGTGTTTCATAGCTGCTCTTTCAAAAGGAAAGTTCAACTCTGGGAGTTGAATACAAACATCACAAAATAGTTTCCGAGAATGCTTCTGTTTAGTTTTTATGTGAAGATGATCCCGTTTCCAGTGAAATCTTCAAAGAGGTCCACATATCCCCTTGCAGATTCCAAAGAAAGAGGGTTTCAAAACTGCTCCATCAGAAGGATTGTTCAACTCTGTGAGTTGAATGCAGTCATCGCAGAAAACTTTCTGAGAATGCTTCTGTCTAGGTTTGATGTGAAGATATAGAAGTTTCAAACGAAGGCTACAAAGTGGTCAAAATATATACTTGCAGATTCTACTACAAGGGTGTTGCAAACCTGAACTATCAAAGGAAGGTTCAACTCTGTGAGTTGAATACAAACATCACAAAGAATGTTCTGAGTTTGCTTCCGTTCAGTTATGGGAAGTTGATCCCGTTTCCAACGAAATCCTCAGAGAGGTCCAAATATCCCCTTGCAGATTCTACAAAACGTGTGTTTGGAAACTGCTCCATCATAACGAATGTTCAGCTCCCTGAGTTAAACTCCATCGTCACAAAGAATTTTCTGAGAGTGCTACCGTCTGGTTTTTATATGAAGTTCTTTCCTTCACTACCACAGGCCTCAAAGCGGTCCAAATCTCCACTTGCAGATTCTACAAAAAGAGTGTTTGCAAACTGCTCTATCAAAAGGAATGTTCAACTCTGGGAGTTGAATGCAATCATCACAGAGCAGTTTCTGAGAATGCTTCTATGTCGTTTTTAGGAGAAGATATTTCCTTTTCCAACACAGTCCTCCAAGCCCGCTAAATAGCCACTTGCACATTGTAGAAAAAGTGTGTCAAAGCTGCGCTATCAAAGGGAAAGTTCAACTCTGTGAGGTGAATGCAAACATCCCAAAGAAGTTTCTGAGAATGCTTCCGTTTAGCTTTTAGGTGAAGATTATCCCGTTTCCAACGAAAGCTTCAAAGAGGTCCAAATATCCCCTTGCGGATCCCACAGAAAGAGTGTTTCGAAACTGCTGTTTCAAAAGGAATCTTCAACTCTGTGAGTTGAATGCAATCATCACAAAGAAGTTTCTGACAATGCTTCTCTCTCGTCTTTCTGTGAAGATAAAGGAAAAGGCTTTCAGGCCTTTTCCACCACAGGCCTGAAAGCGCTCCAAATGTCCACTTGCAGATTCTGCGAAAAGAATATTTCAAAACTGCTTTGTGAAAAGCAATGTTAAACTCAGTGGCTCGAACACAAACATCACAACGCGGTTTCTGAGAATGCTTCAGTTTAGTTTTTCTGTGGAAATATTCCCGTTTCCAAAGAAATCTTCAAAGAGGTCCACGTATCCACTTACAGATTCTACAAAAAGACAGTTTCAAAACTGCTCCATCAAAAGGAGGGTTCAACTGTGTGACTTGAATGCAATCATCACTCAGAAGTTTCTGAGAATGCTTCTCTTTAGTTTTTACGTGAACATATACCCGTTTCGAACGAAGGCCAGCCAGTGGTCCAAATATCCACTTGCAGATTCTACAGAAAGAGTGTTTCGAACATGAACTCTCAAAGGCAGGTTCATCTCTGCGAGTTAAATGCATTCATCATGAAGAACTTTCTCAGAGTGTTTGTGTTTAGTTATGGGAAATTATTCCCGTTTCCAACGAAATCCTCAGAGAGCTCCAAATATCCACCTGCAGATTCTACCAAAAGTGTATTTGGAAACTGCTCCATCAAAAGGCATGTTCAGCTCTGTGAGTGAAACTCCATCATCACAAAGAATATTCTGAGAATGCTTCCATTTGCCTTTTATATGAAGTTCCTTCCTATACTACCGTAGGCCTCAAAGCAGTCCAAATCTCCATTTGCAGATTCTACAAAAAGAGTGATTCCAATCTGCTCTATCAATAGGATTGTTCAACTCCATGAGTTGAATGCCATGCTCACAAAGTCGTTTCTGAGAATGCTTCTATCTAGTTTTTATGTGAAGATATTTCCTTTTCCACCACAGGCCTCAAAGCCCTCCAAACGTCCACTTGCAGATTCTCGAAAAAGTGTGTTTCATAGCTGCTCTTTCAAAAGGAAATTTCAACTCTGGGAGTTGAATACAAACATCACAAAGTAGTTTCCGAGAATGCTTCTGTTTAGTTCTTATGTGAAGATGATCCCGTTTCCAGTGAAATCTTCAAAGAGGTCCACATATCCCCTTGCAGATTCCAAAGAAAGAGGGTTTCAAAACTGCTCCATCAAAAGGATTGTTCAACTCTGTGAGTTGAATGCAGTCATCGCAGAAAACTTTCTGAGAATGCTTCTGTCTAGGTTTGATGTGAAGATATAGACGTTTCAAACGAAGGCTACAAAGTGGTCAAAATATACACTTGCAGATTCTACTACAAGGGTGTTGCAAACCTCAACTATCAAAGGAAGGTTCAACTCTGTGAGATGAATGCAAACATCACAAAGAATGTTCTGAGTTTGCTTCCGTTCAGTTATGGGAAGTTGATCCCGTTTCCAACGAAATCCTCAGAGAGGTCCAAATATCCCCTTGCAGATTCTGCAAAACGTGTGTTTGGAAACTGCTCCATCATAACGAATGTTCAGCTCTCTGAGTTAAACTCCATCGTCACAAAGAATTTTCTGAGAGTGCTACCGTCTAGTTTTTATATGAAGTTCTTTCCTTTACTACCACAGGCCTCAAAGCGGTCCAAATCTCCACTTGCAGATTCTACAAAAAGAGTGTTTGCAAACTGCTCTATCAAAAGGAATGTTCAACTCTGGGAGTTGAATGCAATCATCACAGAGCAGTTTCTGAGAATGCTTCTATGTCGTTTTTAGGAGAAGATATTTCCTTTTCCAACACAGTCCTCCAAGCCCGCTAAATAGCCACTTGCACATTGTAGAAAAAGTGTGTCAAAGCTGCGCTATCAAAGGGAAAGTTCAACTCTGTGAGGTGAATGCAAACATCCCAAAGAAGTTTCTGAGAATGCTTCCGTTTAGCTTTTAGGTGAAGATTATCCCGTTTCCAACGAAACCTTCAAAGAGGTCCAAATATCCCCTTGCGGATCCCACAGAAAGAGTGTTTCGAAACTGCTGTTTCAAAAGGAATCTTCAACTCTGTGAGTTGAATGCAATCATCACAAAGAAGTTTCTGACAATGCTTCTCTCTCGTCTTTCTGTGAAGATAAAGGAAAAGGCTTTCAGGCCTTTTCCACCACAGGCCTGAAAGCGCTCCAAATGTCCACTTGCAGATTCTGCGAAAAGAATATTTCAAAACTGCTCTATGAAAAGCAATGTTAAACCCTGTGGCTCGAACACAAACATCACAAAGCGGTTTCTGAGAATGCTTCAGTTTAGTTTTTCTGTGGAAATATTCCCGTTTCCAAAGAAATCTTCAAAGAGGTCCACGTATCCACTTACAGATTCTACAAAAAGACAGTTTCAAAACTGCTCCATCAAAAGGAGGGTTCAACTGTGTGACTTGAATGCAATCATCACTCAGAAGTTTCTGAGAATGCTTCTCTTTAGTTTTTACGTGAACATATACCCGTTTCGAACGAAGGCCACCCAGTGGTCCAAATATCCACTTGCAGATTCTACAGAAAGAGTGTTTCGAACCTGAACTCTCAAAGGCAGGTTCATCTCTGCGAGTTAAATGCATTCATCATGAAGAACTTTCTCAGAGTGTTTGTGCTTAGTTATGGGAAATTATTCCCGTTTCCAACGAAATCCTCAGAGTGGTCCAAATATCCACCTGCAGATTCTACCAAAAGTGTATTTGGAAACTGCTCCATCAAAAGGCATGTTCAGCTCTGTGAGTGAAACTCCATCATCACAAAGAATATTCTGAGAATGCTTCCGTTTGCCTTTTATATGAAGTTCCTTCCTATACGACCGTAGGCCTCAAAGCAGTCCAAATCTCCATTTGCAGATTCTACAAAAAGAGTGATTCCAATCTGCTGTATCAATAGGATTGTTCAACTCCATGAGTTGAAAGCCATCCTCACGAAGTAGTTTCTGAGAATGCTCTATCTAGTTTTTATGTGAAGATATTTCCTTTTCCACCACAGGCCTCAAAGCCCTCCAAACGTCCACTTGCAGATTCTCGAAAAAGAGTGTTTCATAGCTGCTCTTTCAAAAGGAAAGTTCAACTCTGGGAGTTGAATACAAACATCACAAAGTAGTTTCCGAGAATGCTTTCTGTTTAGTTCTTATGTGAAGATGATCCCGTTTCCAGTGAAATCTTCAAAGATGTCCACATATCCCCTTGCAGATTCCAAAGAAAGAGGGTTTCAAAACTGCTCCATCAAAAGGATTGTTCAACTCTGTGAGTTGAATGCAGTCATCGCAGAAAACTTTCTGAGAATGCTTCTGTCTAGGTTTGATGTGAAGATATAGACGTTTCAAACGAAGGCTACAAAGTGGTCAAAATATACTCTTGCAGATTCTACTACAAGGGTGTTGCAAACCTGAACTCTCAAAGGAAGGTTCAACTCTGTGAGTTGAATACAAACATACATCACAAAGAATGTTCTGAGTTTGCTTCCGTTCAGTTATGGGATGTTGATCCCGTTTCCAACGAAATCCTCAGAGAGGTCCAAATATCCCCTTGCAGATTCTACAAAACGTGTGTTTGGAAACTGCTCCATCATAACGAATGTTCAGCTCCCTGAGTTAAACTCCATCGTCACAAAGAATTTTCTGAGAGTGCTACCGTCTGGTTTTTATATGAAGCTCTTTCCTTCACTACCACAGGCCTCAAAGCGGTCCAAATCTCCACTTGCAGATTCTACAGAAAGAGTGTTTGCAAACTGCTCTATCAAAAGGAATGTTCAACTCTGGGAGTTGAATGCAATCATCACAGAGCAGTTTCTGAGAATGCTTCTATGTCGTTTTTAGGAGAAGATATTTCCTTTTCCAACACAGTCCTCCAAGCCCGCTAAATAGCCACTTGCACATTGTAGAAAAAGTGTGTCAAAGCTGCGCTATCAAAGGGAAAGTTCAACTCTGTGAGGTGAATGCAAACATCCCAAAAAGTTTCTGAGAATGCTTCCATTTAGCTTTTAGGTGAAGATTATCCCGTTTCCAACGAAACCTTCAAAGAGGTCCAAATATCCCCTTGCGGATCCCACAGAAAGAGTGTTTCGAAACTGCTGTTTCAAAAGGAATCTTCAACTCTGTGAGTTGCATGCAATCATCACAAAGAAGTTTCTGACAATGCTTCTCTCTCGTCTTTCTGTGAAGATAAAGGAAAAGGCTTTCAGGCCTTTTCCACCACAGGCCTGAAAGCGCTCCAAATGTCCACTTGCAGATTCTGCCAAAAGAATATTTCAAAACTGCTCTATGAAAAGCAATGTTAAACTCTGCGGCTCGAACACAAACATCACAAAGCAGTTTCTGAGAATGCTTCAGTTTAGTTTTTCTGTGGAAATATTCCCGTTTCCAAAGAAATCTTCAAAGAGGTCCACGCATCCACTTACAGATTCTACAAAAAGACAGTTTCAAAACTGCTCAATCAAAAGGAGGGTTCAACTGTGTGACTTGAATGCAATCATCACTCAGAAGTTTCTGAGAATGCTTCTCTTTAGTTTTTACGTGAACATATACCCGTTTCGAACGAAGGCCACCCAGTGGTCCAAATATCCACTTGCAGATTCTACAGAAAGAGTGTTTCGAACCTGAACTCTCAAAGGCAGGTTCATCTCTGCGAGTTAAATGCATTCATCATGAAGAACTTTCTCAGCGTGTTTGTGTTTAGTTATGGGAAATTATTCCCGTTTCCAACGAAATCCTCAAAGAGCTCCAAATATCCACCTGCAGATTCTACCAAAAGTGTATTTGGAAACTGCTCCATCAAAAGGCATGTTCAGCTCTGTGAGTGAAACTCCATCATCACAAAGAATATTCCGAGAATGCTTCCGTTTGCCTTTTATATGAAGTTCCTTCCTATACTACCGTAGGCCTCAAAGCAGTCCAAATCTCCATTTGCAGATTCTACAAAAAGAGTGATTCCAATCTGCTCTATCAATAGGATTGTTCAGCTCCATGAGTTGAATGCCATCCTCACAAAGTCGTTTCTGAGAATGCTTCTATCTAGTTTTTATGTGAAGATATTTCCTTTTCCACCACAGGCCTCAAAGCCCTCCAAATGTCCACTTGCAGATTCTCGAAAAAGAGTGTTTCATAGCTGCTCTTTCAAAAGGAAAGTTCAACTCTGGGAGTTGAATACAAACATCACAAAGTAGTTTCCGAGAATCTTCTGTTTAGTTTTTATGTGAAGATGATCCCGTTTCCAGTGAATTCTTCAAAGAGGTCCACATATCCCCTTGCAGATTCCAAAGAAAGATGGTTTCAAAACTGCTCCATCAAAAGGATTGTTCAACTCTGTGAGTTGAATGCAGTCATCACAGCAAACTTTCTGAGAATGCTTCTGTCTAGGTTTGATGTGAAGATATAGACGTTTCAAACGAAGGCTACAAAGTGGTCAAAATATACACTTGCAGATTCTACTACAAGGGTGTTGCAAACCTGAACTATCAAAGGAAGGTTCAACTCTGTGAGTTGAATACAAACATCACAAAGAATGTTCTGAGTTTGCTTCCGTTCAGTTATGGGAAGTTGATCCCGTTTCCAACGAAATCCTCAGAGAGGTC
This sequence comes from Homo sapiens, assembly GCF_000001405.40. Taxonomy (NCBI): domain Eukaryota; kingdom Metazoa; phylum Chordata; class Mammalia; order Primates; family Hominidae; genus Homo; species Homo sapiens. The sequence continues at coordinate 61,954,145 of NC_000023.11, read as the reverse complement.
CCAATATCCCCTTGCAGATTCTACAAAACGTGTGTTTGGAAACTGCTCCATCATAACGAATGTTCAGCTCCCTGAGTTAAACTCCATCGTCACAAAGAATTTTCTGAGAGTGCTACCGTCTGGTTTTTATATGAAGTTCTTTCCTTCACTACCACAGGCCTCAACGCGGTCCAAATCTCCACTTGCAGATTCTACAAAAAGAGTGTTTGCAAACTGCTCTATCAAAAGGAATGTTCAACTCTGGGAGTTGAATGCAATCATCACAGAGCAGTTTCTGAGAATGCTTCTATGTCGTTTTTAGGAGAAGATATTTCCTTTTCCAACACAGTCCTCCAAGCCCGCTAAATAGCCACTTGCACATTGTAGAAAAAGTGTGTCGAAGCTGCGCTATCAAAGGGAAAGTTCAACTCTGTGAGGTGAATGCAAACATCCCAAAGAAGTTTCTGAGAATGCTTCCGTTTAGCTTTTAGGTGAAGATTATCCCGTTTCCAACGAAACCTTCAAAGAGGTCCAAATATCCCCTTGCGGATCCCACAGAAAGAGTGTTTCGAAACTGCTGTTTCAAAAGGAATCTTCAACTCTGTGAGTTGAATGCAATCATCACAAAGAAGTTTCTGACAATGCTTCTCTCTCGTCTTTCTGTGAAGATAAAGGAAAAGGCTTTCAGGCCTTTTCCACCACAGGCCTGAAAGCGCTCCAAATGTCCACTTGCAGATTCTGCGAAAAGAATATTTCAAAACTGCTCTATGAAAAGCAATGTTAAACTCTGTGGCTCGAACACAAACATCACAAAGCGGTTTCTGAGAATGCTTCAGTTTAGTTTTTCTGTGGAAATATTCCCGTTTCCAAAGAAATCTTCAAAGGGGGTCCACGTATCCACTTACAGATTCTACAAAAAGACAGTTTCAAAACTGCTCCATCAAAAGGAGGGTTCAACTGTGTGACTTGAATGCAATCATCACTCAGAAGTTTCTGAGAATGCTTCTCTTTAGTTTTTACGTGAACATATACCCGTTTCGAACGAAGGCCACCCAGTGGTCCAAATATCCACTTGCAGATTATACAGAAAGAGTGTTTCGAACCTGAACTCTCAAAGGCAGGTTCATCTCTGCGAGTTAAATGCATTCATCATGAAGAACTTTCTCAGAGTGTTTGTGTTTAGTTATGGGAAATTATTCCCGTTTCCAACAAAATCCTCAGAGAGCTCCAAATATCCACCTGCAGATTCTACCAAAAGTGTATTTGGAAACTGCTCCATCAAAAGGCATGTTCAGCTCTGTGAGTGAAACTCCATCATCACAAAGAATATTCTGAGAATGCTTCCGTTTGCCTTTTATATGAAGTTCCTTCCTGTACTACCGTAGGCCTCAAAGCAGTCCAAATCTCCATTTGCAGATTCTACAAAAAGAGTGATTCCAATCTGCTCTATCAATAGGATTGTTCAACTCCATGAGTTGAATGCCATCCTCACAAAGCAGTTTCTGAGAATGCTTCTATCTAGTTTTTATGTGAAGATATTTCCTTTTCCACCACAGGCCTCAAAGCCCTCCAAACGTCCACTTGCAGATTCTCGAAAAAGAGTGTTTCATAGCTGCTCTTTCAAAAGGAAAGTTCAACTCTGGGAGTTGAATACAAACATCACAAAGTAGTTTCCGAGAATGCTTCAGTTTAGTTTTTATGTGAAGATGATCCCGTTTCCAGTGAAATCTTCAAAGAGGTCCACATATCCCCTTGCAGATTCCAAAGAAAGAGGGTTTCAAAACTGCTCCATCAGAAGGATTGTTCAACTCTGTGAGTTGAATGCAGTCATCGCAGAAAACTTTCTGAGAATGCTTCTGTCTAGGTTTGATGTGAAGATATAGATGTTTCAAACGAAGGCTACAAAGTGGTCAAAATATACACTTGCAGATTCTACTACAAGGGTGTTGCAAACCTGAACTATCAAAGGAAGGTTCAACTCTGTGAGTTGAATACAAACATCACAAAGAATGTTCTGAGTTTGCTTCCGTTCAGTTATGGGAAGTTGATCCCGTTTCCAACGAAATCCTCAGAGAGGTCCAAATATCCCCTTGCAGATTCTACAAAACGTGGGTTTGGAAACTGCTCCATCATAACGAATGTTCAGCTCCCTGAGTTAAACTCCATCGTCACAAAGAATTTTCTGAGAGTGCTACCGTCTGGTTTTTATATGAAGTTCTTTCCTTCACTACCACAGGCCTCAAAGCGGTCCAAATCTCCACTTGCAGATTCTACAAAAAGAGTGTTTGCAAACTGCTCTATCAAAAGGAATGTTCAACTCTGGGAGTTGAATGCAATCATCACAGAGCAGTTTCTGAGAATGCTTCTATGTCGTTTTTAGGAGAAGATATTTCCTTTTCCAACACAGTCCTCCAAGTCCGCTAAATAGCCACTTGCACATTGTAGAAAAAGTGTGTCAAAGCTGCGCTATCAAAGGGAAAGTTCAACTCTGTGAGGTGAATGCAAACATCCCAAAGAAGTTTCTGAGAATGCTTCCGTTTAGCTTTTAGGTGAAGATTATCCCGTTTCCAACGAAAGCTTCAAAGAGGTCCAAATATCCCCTTGCGGATCCCACAGAAAGAGTGTTTCGAAACTGCTGTTTCAAAAGGAATCTTCAACTCTGTGAGTTGAATGCAATCATCACAAAGAAGTTTCTGACAATGCTTCTCTCTCGTCTTTCTGTGAAGATAAAGGAAAAGGCTTTCAGGCCTTTTCCACCACAGGCCTGAAAGCGCTCCAAATGTCCACTTGCAGATTCTGCCAAAAGAATATTTCAAAACTGCTCTATGAAAAGCAATGTTAAACTCTGTGGCTCGAACACAAACATCACAAAGCGGTTTCTGAGAATGCTTCAGTTTAGTTTTTCTGTGGAAATATTCCCGTTTCCAAAGAAATCTTCAAAGAGGTCCACGTATCCACTTACAGATTCTACAAAAAGACAGTTTCAAAACTGCTCCATCAAAAGGAGGGTTCAACTGTGTGACTTGAATGCAATCATCACTCAGAAGTTTCTGAGAATGCTTCTCTTTAGTTTTTACATGAACATATACCCGTTTCGAACGAAGGCCAGCCAGTGGTCCAAATATCCACTTGCAGATTCTACAGAAAGAGTGTTTCGAACCTGAACTCTCAAAGGCAGGTTCATCTCTGCAAGTTCAATGCATTCATCATGAAGAACTTTCTCAGCGTGTTTGTGTTTAGTTATGGGAAATTATTCCCGTTTCCAAAGAAATCCTCAGAGAGCTCCAAATATCCACCTGCAGATTCTACCAAAAGTGTATTTGGAAACTGCTCCATCAAAAGGCATGTTCAGCTCTGTGAGTGAAACTCCATCATCACAAAGAATATTCTGAGAATGCTTCCGTTTGCCTTTTATATGAAGTTCCTTCCTATACTACCGTAGGCCTCAAAGCAGTCCAAATCTCCATTTGCAGATTCTACAAAAAGAGTGATTCCAATCTGCTCTATCAATAGGATTGTTCAACTCCATGAGTTGAATGCCATCCTCACAAAGTCGTTTCTGAGAATGCTTCTATCTAGTTTTTATGTGAAGATATTTCCTTTTCCACCACAGGCCTCAAAGCCCTCCAAACGTCCACTTGCAGATTCTCGAAAAAGAGTGTTTCATAGCTGCTCTTTCAAAAGGAAAGTTCAACTCTGGGAGTTGAATACAAACATCACAAAGTAGTTTCCGAGAATGCTTCTGTTTAGTTCTTATGTGAAGATGATCCCGTTTCCAGTGAAATCTTCAAAGAGGTCCACATATCCCCTTGCAGATTCCAAAGAAAGAGGGTTTCAAAACTGCTCCATCAAAAGGATTGTTCAACTCTGTGAGTTGAATGCAGTCATCGCAGAAAACGTTCTGAGAATGCTTCTGTCTAGGTTTGATGTGAAGATATAGACGTTTCAAACGAAGGCTACAAAGTGGTCAAAATATACACTTGCAGATTCTACTACAAGGGTGTTGCAAACCTGAACTATCAAAGGAAGGTTCAACTCTGTGAGTTGAATACAAACATCACAAAGAATGTTCTGAGTTTGCTTCCGTTCAGTTATGGGAAGCTGATCCCGTTTCCAACGAAATCCTCAGAGAGGTCCAAATATCCCCTTGCAGATTCTACAAAACGTGTGTTTGGAAACTGCTCCATCATAACGAATGTTCAGCTCCCTGAGTTAAACTCCATCGTCACAAAGAATTTTCTGAGAGTGCTACCGTATGGTTTTTATATGAAGTTCTTTCCTTCACTACCACTGGCCTCAAAGCGGTCCAAATCTCCACTTGCAGATTCTACAAAAAGAGTGTTTGCAAACTGCTCTATCAAAAGGAATGTTCAACTCTGGGAGTTGAATGCAATCATCACAGAGCAGTTTCTGAGAATGCTTCTATGTCGTTTTTAGGAGAAGATATTTCCTTTTCCAACACAGTCCTCCAAGCCCGCTAAATAGCCACTTGCACATTGTAGAAAAAGTGTGTCAAAGCTGCGCTATCAAAGGGAAAGTTCAACTCTGTGAGGTGAATGCAAACATCCCAAAGAAGTTTCTGAGAATGCTTCCGTTTAGCTTTTAGGTGAAGATTATCCCGTTTCCAACGAAACCTTCAAAGAGGTCCAAATATCCCCTTGCGGATCCCACAGAAAGAGTGTTTCGAAACTGCTGTTTCAAAAGGAATCTTCAACTCTGTGAGTTGAATGCAATCATCACAAAGAAGTTTCTGACAATGCTTCTCTCTCGTCTTTCTGTGAAGATAAAGGAAAAGGCTTTCAGGCCTTTTCCACCACAGGCCTGAAAGCGCTCCAAATGTCCACTTGCAGATTCTGCCAAAAGAATATTTCAAAACTGCTCTATGAAAAGCAATGTTAAACTCTGCGGCTCGAACACAAACATCACAAAGCAGTTTCTGAGAATGCTTCAGTTTAGTTTTTCTGTGGAAATATTCCCGTTTCCAAAGAAATCTTCAAAGAGGTCCACGCATCCACTTACAGATTCTACAAAAACACAGTTTCAAAACTGCTCAATCAAAACGAGGGTTCAACTGTGTGACTTGAATGCAATCATCACTCAGAAGTTTTTGAGAATGCTTCTCTTTAGTTTTTACGTGAACATATACCCGTTTCGAACGAAGGCCACCCAGTGGTCCAAATATCCACTTGCAGATTATACAGAAAGAGTGTTTCGAACCTGAACTCTCAAAGGCAGGTTCATCTCTGCGAGTTAAATGCATTCATCATGAAGAACTTTCTCAGAGTGTTTGTGTTTAGTTATGGGAAATTATTCCCGTTTCCAACGAAATCCTCAGAGTGGTCCAAATATCCACCTGCAGATTCTACCAAAAGTGTATTTGGAAACTGCTCCATCAAAAGGCATGTTCAGCTCTGTGAGTGAAATTCCATCATCACAAAGAATATTCTGAGAATGCTTCCGTTTGCCTTTTATATGAAGTTCCTTCCTATACGACCGTAGGCCTCAAAGCAGTCCAAATCTCCATTTGCAGATTCTACAAAAAGAGTGATTCCAATCTGCTCTATCAATAGGATTGTTCAACTCCATGAGTTGAATGCCATCCTCACAAAGTAGTTTCTGAGAATGCTTCTATCTAGTTTTTATGTGAAGATATTTCCTTTTCCACCACAGGCCTCAAAGCCTTCCAAACGTCCACTTGCAGATTCTCGAAAAAGAGTGTTTCATAGCTGCTCTTTCAAAAGGAAAGTTCAACTCTGGGAGTTGAATACAAACATCACAAAGTAGTTTCCGAGAATGCTTCTGTTTAGTTTTTATGTGAAGATGATCCCGTTTCCAGTGAAATCTTCAAAGAGGTCCACATATCCCCTTGCAGATTCCAAAGAAAGAGGGTTTCAAAACTGCTCCATCAGAAGGATTGTTCAACTCTGTGAGTTGAATGCAGTCATCGCAGAAAACTTTCTGAGAATGCTTCTGTCTAGGTTTGATGTGAAGATATAGACGTTTCAAACGAAGGCTACAAAGTGGTCAAAATATACACTTGCAGATTCTACTACAAGGGTGTTGCAAACCTGAACTATCAAAGGAAGGTTCAACTATGTGAGTTGAATACAAACATCACAAAGAATGTTCTGAGTTTGCTACCGTCTGGTTTTTATATGAAGTTCTTTCCTTCACTACCACAGGCCTCAAAGCGGTCCAAATCTCCACTTGCAGATTCTACAAAAAGAGTGTTTGCAAACTGCTCTATCAAAAGGAATGTTCAACTCTGGGAGTTGAATGCAATCATCACAGAGCAGTTTCTGAGAATGCTTCTATGTCGTTTTTAGGAGAAGATATTTCCTTTTCCAACACAGTCCTCCAAGCCCGCTAAATAGCCACTTGCACATTGTAGAAAAAGTGTGTCAAAGCTGCGCTATCAAAGGGAAAGTTCAACTCTGTGAGGTGAATGCAAACATCCCAAAGAAGTTTCTGAGAATGCTTCCGTTTAGCTTTTAGGTGAAGATTATCCCGTTTCCAACGAAACCTTCAAAGAGGTCCAAATATCCCCTTGCGGATCCCACAGAAAGAGTGTTTCGAAACTGCTGTTTCAAAAGGAATCTTCAACTCTGTGAGTTGAATGCAATCATCACAAAGAAGTTTCTGACAATGCTTCTCTCTCGTCTTTCTGTGAAGATAAAGGAAAAGGCTTTCAGGCCTTTTCCACCACAGGCCTGAAAGCGCTCCAAATGTCCACTTGCAGATTCTGCCAAAAGAATATTTCAAAACTGCTCTATGAAAAGCAATGTTAAACTCTGCGGCTCGAACACAAACATCACAAAGCAGTTTCTGAGAATGCTTCAGTTTAGTTTTTCTGTGGAAATATTCCCGTTTCCAAAGAAATCTTCAAAGAGGTCCACGTATCCACTTACAGATTCTACAAAAAGACAGTTTCAAAACTGCTCAATCAAAAGGAGGGTTCAACTGTGTGACTTGAATGCAATCATCACTCAGAAGTTTCTGAGAATGCTTCTCTTTAGTTTTTAGGTGAACATATACCCGTTTCGAACGAAGGCCACCCAGTGGTCCAAATATCCACTTGCAGATTCTACAGAAAGAGTGTTTCGAACCTGAACTCTCAAAGGCAGGTTCATCTCTGCGAGTTAAATGCATTCATCATGAAGAACTTTCTCAGAGTGTTTGTGTTTAGTTATGGGAAATTATTGCCGTTTCCAACGAAATCCTCAGAGAGGTCCAAATATCCACCTGCAGATTCTACCAAAAGTGTATTTGGAAACTGCTCCATCAAAAGGCATGTTCAGCTCTGTGAGTGAAACTCCATCATCACAAAGAATATTCTGAGAATGCTTCCGTTTGCCTTTTATATGAAGTTCCTTCCTATACTACCGTAGGCCTCAAAGCAGTCCAAATCTCCATTTGCAGATTCTACAAAAAGAGTGATTCCAATCTGCTCTATCAATAGGATTGTTCAGCTCCATGAGTTGAATGCCATCCTCACAAAGTCGTTTCTGAGTATGCTTCTATCTAGTTTTTATGTGAAGATATTTCCTTTTCCACCACAGGCCCCAAAGCCCTCCAAACGTACACTTGCAGATTCTCGAAAAAGAGTGTTTCATAGCTGCTCTTTCAAAAGGAAAGTTCAACTCTGGGAGTTGAATACAAACATCACAAAGTAGTTTCCGAGAATGCTTCTGTTTAGTTCTTATGTGAAGATGATCCCGTTTCCAGTGAAATCTTCAAAGAGGTCCACATATCCCCTTGCAGATTCCAAAGAAAGAGGGTTTCAAAACTGCTCCATCAAAAGGATTGTTCAACTCTGTGAGTTGAATGCAGTCATCGCAGAAAACTTTCTGAGAATGCTTCTGTCTAGGTTTGATGTGAAGATATAGACGTTTCAAATGAAGGCTACAAAGTGGTCAAAATATACACTTGCAGATTCTACTACAAGGGTGTTGCAAACCTGAACTATCAAAGGAAGGTTCAACTCTGTGAGTTGAATACAAACATCACAAAGAATGTTCTGAGTTTGCTTCCGTTCAGTTATGGGAAGTTGATCCCGTTTCCAACGAAATCCTCAGAGAGGTCCAAATATCCCCTTGCAGATTCTACAAAACGTGTGTTTGGAAACTGCTCCATCATAACGAATGTTCAGCTCCCTGAGTTAAACTCCATCGTCACAAAGAATTTTCTGAGAGTGCTACCGTCTGGTTTTTATATGAAGTTCTTTCCTTCACTACCACAGGCCTCAAAGCGGTCCAAATCTCCACTTGCAGATTCTACAAAAAGAGTGTTTGCAAACTGCTCTATCAAAAGGAATGTTCAACTCTGGGAGTTGAATGCAATCATCACAGAGCAGTTTCTGAGAATGCTTCTATGTCGTTTTTAGGAGAAGATATTTCCTTTTCCAACACAGTCCTCCAAGCCCGCTAAATAGCCACTTGCACATTGTAGAAAAAGTGTGTCAAAGCTGCGCTATCAAAGGGAAAGTTCAACTCTGTGAGGTGAATGCAAACATCCCAAAGAAGTTTCTGAGAATGCTTCCGTTTAGCTTTTAGGTGAAGATTATCCCGTTTCCAACGAAACCTTCAAAGAGGTCCAAATATCCCCTTGCGGATCCCACAGAAAGAGTGTTTCGAAACTGCTGTTTCAAAAGGAATCTTCAACTCTGTGAGTTGAATGCAATCATCACAAAGAAGTTTCTGACAATGCTTCTCTCTCGTCTTTCTGTGAAGATAAAGGAAAAGGCTTTCAGGCCTTTTCCACCACAGGCCTGAAAGCGCTCCAAATGTCCACTTGCAGATTCTGCCAAAAGAATATTTCAAAACTGCTCTATGAAACGCAATGTTAAACTCTGTGGCTCGAACACAAACATCACAAAGCGGTTTCTGAGAATGCTTCAGTTTAGTTTTTCTGTGGAAATATTCCCGTTTCCAAAGAAATCTTCAAAGAGGTCCACGTATCCACTTACAGATTCTACAAAAAGACAGTTTCAAAACTGCTCCATCAAAAGGAGGGTTCAACTGTGTGACTTGAATGCAATCATCACTCAGAAGTTTCTGAGAATGCTTCTCTTTAGTTTTTACGTGAACATATACCCCTTTCGAACGAAGGCCACCCAGTGGTCCAAATATCCACTTGCAGATTCTACAGAAAGAGTGTTTCGAACATGAACTCTCAAAGGCAGGTTCATCTCTGCGAGTTAAATGCATTCATCATGAAGAACTTTCTCAGAGTGTTTGTGTTTAGTTATGGGAAATTATTCCCGTTTCCAACGAAATCCTCAGAGAGCTCCAAATATCCACCTGCAGATTCTACCAAAAGTGGATTTGGAAACTGCTCCATCAAAAGGCATGTTCCGCTCTGTGAGTGAAACTCCATCATCACAAAGAATATTCTGAGAATGCTTCCGTTTGCCTTTTATATGAAGTTCCTTCCTATACGACCGTAGGCCTCAAAGCAGTCCAAATCTCCATTTGCAGATTCTACAAAAAGAGTGATTCCAATCTGCTCTATCAATAGGATTGTTCAACTCCATGAGTTGAATGCCATCCTCACAAAGTCGTTTCTGAGAATGCTTCTATCTAGTTTTTATGTGAAGATATTTCCTTTTCCACCACAGGCCTCAAAGCCCTCCAAACGTCCACTTTCAGATTCTCGAAAAAGAGTGTTTCATAGCTGCTCTTTCAAAAGGAAAGTTCAACTCTGGGAGTTGAATACAAACATCACAAAGTAGTTTCCGAGAATGCTTTCTGTTTAGTTTTTATGTGAAGATGATCCCGTTTCCAGTGAAATCTTCAAAGAGGTCCACATATCCCCTTGCAGATTCCAAAGAAAGAGGGTTTCAAAACTGCTCCATCAGAAGGATTGTTCAACTCTGTGAGTTGAATGCAGTCATCGCAGAAAACTTTCTGAGAATGCTTCTGTCTAGGTTTGATGTGAAGATATAGACGTTTCAAACGAAGGCTACAAAGTGGTCAAAATATACACTTGCAGATTCTACTACAAGGGTGTTGCAAACCTGAACTATCAAAGGAAGGTTCAACTCTGTGAGTTGAATACAAACATCACAAAGAATGTTCTGAGTTTGCTTCCGTTCAGTTATGGGAAGTTGATCCCGTTTCCAAAGAAATCCTCAGAGAGGTCCAAATATCCCCTCGCAGATTCTACAAAACGTGTGTTTGGAAACTGCTCCATCATAACGAATGTTCAGCTCCCTGAGTTAAACTCCATCGTCACAAAGAATTTTCTGAGAGTGCTACCGTCTGGTTTTTATATGAAGCTCTTTCCTTCACTACCCCAGGCCTCAAAGCGGTCCAAATCTCCACTTCCAGATTCTACATAAAGAGTGTTTGCAAACTGCTCTATCAAAAGGAATGTTCAACTCTGGGAGTTGAATGCAATCATCACAGAGCAGTTTCTGAGAATGCTTCTATGTCGTTTTTAGGAGAAGATATTTCCTTTTCCAACACAGTCCTCCAAGCCCGCTAAATAGCCACTTGCACATTGTAGAAAAAGTGTGTCGAAGCTGCGCTATCAAAGGGAAAGTTCAACTCTGTGAGGTGAATGCAAACATCCCAAAGAAGTTTCTGAGAATGCTTCCGTTTAGCTTTTAGGTGAAGATTATCCCGTTTCCAACGAAATCTTCAAAGAGGTCCAAATATCCCCTTGCGGATCCCACAGAAAGAGTGTTTCGAAACTGCTGTTTCAAAAGGAATCTTCAACTCTGTGAGTTGAATGCAATCATCACAAAGAAGTTTCTGACAATGCTTCTCTCTCGTCTTTCTGTGAAGATAAAGGAAAAGGCTTTCAGGCCTTTTCCACCACAGGCCTGAAAACGCTCTAAATGTCCACTTGCAGATTCTGCCAAAAGAATATTTCAAAAGTGCTCTATGAAAAGCAATGTTAAACTCTGCGGCTCGAACACCAACATCACAAAGCAGTTTCTGAGAATGCTTCAGTTTAGTTTTTCTGTGGAAATATTCCCGTTTCCAAAGAAATCTTCCAAGAGGTCCACGTATCCACTTACAGATTCTACAAAAAGACAGTTTCAAAACTGCTCAATCAAAAGGCGGGTTCAACTGTGTGACTTGAATGCAATCATCACTCAGAAGTTTCTGAGAATGCTTCTCTTTAGTTTTTACGTGAACATATACCCGTTTCGAACGAAGGCCAGCCAGTGGTCCAAATATCCACTTGCAGATTCTACAGAAAGAGTGTTTCGAACCTGAACTCTCAAAGGCAAGTTCATCTCTGCGAGTTAAATGCATTCATCATGAAGAACTTTCTCAGAGTGTTTGTGTTTAGTTATGGGAAATTATTCCCGTTTCCAACGAAATCCTCAGAGAGGTCCAAATATCCACCTGCAGATTCTACCAAAAGTGTATTTGGAAACTGCTCCATCAAAAGGCATGTTCAGCTCTGTGAGTGAAACTCCATCATCACAAAGAATATTCTGAGAATGCTTCCGTTTGCCTTTTATATGAAGTTCCTTCCTATACTACCGTAGGCCCCAAAGCAGTCCAAATCTCCATTTGCAGATTCTACAAAAAGAGTGATTCCAATCTGCTCTCTCAATGGGATTGTTCAACTCCATGAGTTGAATGCCATCCTCACAAAGTCGTTTCTGAGAATGCTTCTATCTAGTTTTTATGTGAAGATATTTCCTTTTCCACCACAGGCCTCAAAGCCCTCCAAACGTCCACTTGCAGATTCTCGAAAAAGAGTGTTTCATAGCTGCTCTTTCAAAAGGAAAGTTCAACTCTGGGAGTTGAATACAAACATCACAAAGTAGTTTCCGAGAATGCTTCTGTTTAGTTTTTATGTGAAGATGATCCCGTTTCCAGTGAAATCTTCAAAGAGGTCCACATATCCCCTTGCAGATTCCAAAGAAAGAGGGTTTCAAAACTGCTCCATCAGAAGGATTGTTCAACTCTGTGAGTTGAATGCAGTCATCGCAGAAAACTTTCTGAGAATGCTTCTTTCTAGGTTTGATGTGAAGATATAGACGTTTCAAACGAAGGCTACAAAGTGGTCAAAATATACACTTGCAGATTCTACTACAAGGGTGTTGCAAACCTGAACTATCAAAGGAAGGTTCAACTCTGTGAGTTGAATACAAACATCACAAAGAATGTTCTGAGTTTGCTTCCGTTCAGTTATGGGAAGTTGATCCCGTTTCCAACGAAATCCTCAGAGAGGTCCAAATATCCCCTTGCAGATTCTGCAAAACGTGTGTTTGGGAACTGCTCCATCATAACGAATGTTCAGCTCTCTGAGTTAAACTCCATCGTCACAAAGTTTTTTCTGAGAGTGCTACCGTCTAGTTTTTATATGAAGTTCTTTCCTTTACTACCACAGGCCTCAAAGCGGTCCAAATCTCCACTTGCAGATTCTACAAAAAGAGTGTTTGCAAACTGCTCTATCAAAAGGAATGTTCAACTATGGGAGTTGAATGCAATCATCACAGAGCAGTTCCTGAGAATGCTTCTATGTTGTTTTTAGGAGAAGATATTTCCTTTTCCAACACAGTCCTCCAAGCCCGCTAAATATCCACTTGCACATTGTAGAAAAAGTGGGTCGAAGCTGCGCTATCAAAGGGAAAGTTCAACTCTGTGAGGTGAATGCAAACATCCCAAAGAAGTTTCTGAGAATGCTTCCGTTTAGCTTTTAGGTGAAGATTATCCCGTTTCCAACGAAATCTTCAAAGAGGTCCAAATATCCCCTTGCGGATCCCACAGAAAGAGTGTTTCGAAACTGCTGTTTCAAAAGGAATCTTCAACTCTGTGAGTTGAATGCAATCATCACAAAGAAGTTTCTGACAATTCTTCTCTCTCGCCTTTCTGTGAAGATAAAGGAAAAGGCTTTCAGGCCTGTTCCACCACAGGCCTGAAAGCGCTCCAAATGTCCACTTGCAGATTCTGCGAAAAGAATATTTCAAAACTGCTCTATGAAAAGCAATGTTAAACTCTGTGGCTGGAACACAAACATCACAAAGCGGTTTCTGAGAATGTTTCAGTTTAGTTTTTCTGTGGAAATATTCCCGTTTCCAAAGAAATCTTCAAAGAGGTCCACGTATCCACTTACAGATTCTACAAAAAGACAGTTTCAAAACTGCTCCATCAAAAGGAGGGTTCAACTGTGTGACTTGAATGCAATCATCACTCAGAAGTTTCTGAGAATGCTTCTCTTTAGTTTTTACGTGAACATATACCCGTTTCGAACGAAGGCCACCCAGTGGTCCAAATATCCACTTGCAGATTATACAGAAAGAGTGTTTCGAACCTGAACTCTCAAAGGCAGGTTCATCTCTGCGAGTTAAATGCATTCATCATGAAGAACTTTCTCAGCGTGTTTGTGTTTAGTTTTGGGAAATTATTCCCGTTTCCAACGAAATCCTCAAAGAGCTCCAAATATCCACCTGCAGATTCTACCAAAAGTGTATTTGGAAACTGCTCCATCAAAAGGCATGTTCAGCTCTGTGAGTGAAACTCCATCATCACAAAGAATATTCTGAGAATGCTTCCGTTTGCCTTTTATATGAAGTTCCTTCCTATACGACCGTAGGCCTCAAAGCAGTCCAAATCTCCATTTGCAGATTCTACAAAAAGAGTGATTCCAATCTGCTCTATCAATAGGATTGTTCAACTCCATGAGTTGAATGCCATCCTCACAAAGTAGTTTCTGAGAATGCTTCTATCTAGTTTTTATGTGAAGATATTTCCTTTTCCACCACAGGCCTCAAAGCCCTCCAAACGTCCACTTGCAGATTCTCGAAAAAGAGTGTTTCATAGCTGCTCTTTCAAAAGGAAAGTTCAACTCTGGGAGTTGAATACAAACATCACAAAGTAGTTTCCGAGAATGCTTCTGTTTAGTTGTTATGTGAAGATGATCCCGTTTCCAGTGAAATCTTCAAAGAGGTCCATATATCCCCTTGCAGATTCCAAAGAAAGAGGGTTTCAAAACTGCTCCATCAAAAGGATTGTGCAACTCTGTGAGTTGAATGCAGTCATCACAGAAAACTTTCTGAGAATGCTTCTGTCTAGGTTTGATGTGAAGATATAGACGTTTCAAACGAAGGCTACAAAGTGGTCAAAATATACACTTGCAGATTCTACTACAAGGGTGATGCAAACCTCAACTATCAAAGGAAGGTTCAACTCTGTGAGATGAATGCAACCATCACAAAAAATGTTCTGAGTTTGCTTCCGTTCAGTTATGGGAAATTGATACCGTTTCCAACGAAATCCTCAGAGAGGTCCAAATATCCCCTTGCAGATTCTACAAAACGTGTGTTTGGAAACTGCTCCATCATAACGAATGTTCAGCTCTCTGAGTTAAACTCCATCGTCACAAAGAATTTTCTGAGAGTGCTACCGTCTAGTTTTTATATGAAGTTCTTTCCTTTACTACCACAGGCCTCAAAGCGGTCCAAATCTCCACTTGCAGATTCTACAAAAAGAGTGTTTGCAAACTGCTCTATCAAAAGGAATGTTCAACTCTGGGAGTTGAAAGCAATCATCACAGAGCAGTTTCTGAGAATGCTTCTATGTCGTTTTTAGGAGAAGATATTTCCTTTTCCAACACAGTCCTCCAAGCCCGCTAAATAGCCACTTGCACATTGTAGAAAAAGTGTGTCAAAGCTGCGCTATCAAAGGGAAAGTTCAACTCTGTGAGGTGAATGCAAACATCCCAAAGAAGTTTCTGAGAATGCTTCCGTTTAGCTTTTAGGTGAAGATTATCCCGTTTCCAACGAAACCTTCAAAGAGGTCCAAATATCCCCTTGCGGATCCCACAGAAAGAGTGTTTCGAAACTGCTGTTTCAAAAGGAATCTTCAACTCTGTGAGTTGAATGCAATCATCACAAAGAAGTTTCTGACAATGCTTCTCTCTCGTCTTTCTGTGAAGATAAAGGAAAAGGCTTTCAGGCCTTTTCCACCACAGGCCTGAAAGCGCTCCAAATGTCCACTTGCAGATTCTGCGAAAAGAATATTTCAAAACTGCTCTATGAAAAGCAATGTTAAACTCTGTGGCTCGAACACAAACATCACAAAGCGGTTTCTGAGAATGCTTCAGTTTAGTTTTTCTGTGGAAATATTCCCGTTTCCAAAGAAATCTTCAAAGAGGTCCACGTATCCACTTACAGATTCTACAAAAAGACAGTTTCAAAACTGCTCCATCAAAAGGAGGGTTCAACTGTGTGACTTGAATGCAATCATCACTCAGAAGTTTCTGAGAATGCTTCTCTTTAGTTTTTACGTGAACATATACCCGTTTCGAACGAAGGCCACCCAGTGGTCCAAATACCCACTTGCAGATTCTACAGAAAGAGTGTTTCGAACCTGAACTCTCAAAGGCAGGTTCATCTCTGCGAGTTAAATGCATTCATCATGAAGAACTTTCTCAGAGTGTTTGTGTTTAGTTATGGGAAATTATTCCCGTTTCCAAAGAAATCCTCAGAGAGCTCCAAATATCCACCTGCAGATTCTACCAAAAGTGTATTTGGAAACTGCTCCATCAAAAGGCATGTTCAGCTCTGTGAGTGAAACTCCATCATCACAAAGAATATTCTGAGAATGCTTCCGTTTGCCTTTTATATGAAGTTCCTTCCTGTACTACCGTAGGCCTCAAAGCAGTCCAAATCTCCATTTGCAGATTCTACAAAAAGAGTGATTCCAATCTGCTCTATCAATAGGATTGTTCAACTCCATGAGTTGAATGCCATCCTCACAAAGTAGTTTCTGAGAATGCTTTCTATCTAGTTTTTATGTGAAGATATTTCCTTTTCCACCACAGGCCTCAAAGCCCTCCAAACGTCCACTTGCAGATTCTCGAAAAAGAGTGTTTCATAGCTGCTCTTTCAAAAGGAAAGTTCAACTCTGGGAGTTGAATACAAACATCACAAAGTAGTTTCCGAGAATGCTTCTGTTTAGTTTTTATGTGAAGATGATCCCGTTTCCAGTGAAATCTTCAAAGAGGTCCACATATCCCCTTGCAGATTCCAAAGAAAGAGGGTTTCAAAACTGCTCCATCAGAAGGATTGTTCAACTCTGTGAGTTGAATGCAGTCATCGCAGAAAACTTTCTGAGAATGCTTCTGTCTAGGTTTGATGTGAAGATATAGACGTTTCAAACGAAGGCTACAAAGTGGTCAAAATATACACTTGCAGATTCTACTACAAGGGTGTTGCAAACCTGAACTATCAAAGGAAGGTTCAACTCCGTCAGTTGAATACAAACATCACAAAGAATGTTCTGAGTTTGCTTCCGTTCAGTTATGGGAATTTGATCCCGTTTCCAACGAAATCCTCAGAGAGGTCCAAATATCCCCTTGCAGATTCTACAAAACGTGTGTTTGGAAACTGCTCCATCATAACGAATGTTCAGCTCCCTGAGTTAAACTCCATCGTCACAAAGAATTTTCTGAGAGTGCTACCGTCTGGTTTTTATATGAAGTTCTTTCCTTCACTACCACAGACCTCAAAGCGGTCCAAATCTCCACTTGCAGATTCTACAAAAAGAGTGTTTGCAAACTGCTCTATCAAAAGGAATGTTCAACTCTGGGAGTTGAATGCAATCATCACAGAGCAGTTTCTGAGAATGCTTCTATGTCGTTTTTAGGAGAAGATATTTCCTTTTCCAACACAGTCCTCCAAGCCCGCTAAATAGCCACTTGCACATTGTAGAAAAAGTGTGTCAAAGCTGCGCTATCAAAGGGAAAGTTCAACTCTGTGAGGTGAATGCAAACATCCCAAAGAAGTTTCTGAGAATGCTTCCGTTTAGCTTTTAGGTGAAGATTATCCCGTTTCCAACGAAACCTTCAAAGAGGTCCAAATATCCCCTTGCGGATCCCACAGAAAGAGTGTTTCGAAACTGCTGTTTCAAAAGGAATCTTCAACTCTGTGGGTTGAATGCAATCATCACAAAGAAGTTTCTGACAATGCTTCTCTCTCGTCTTTCTGTGAAGATAAAGGAAAAGGCTTTCAGGCCTTTTCCACCACAGGCCTGAAAGCGCTCCAAATGTCCACTTGCAGATTCTGCCAAAAGAATATTTCAAAACTGCTCTATGAAAAGCAATGTTAAACTCTGTGGCTCGAACACAAACATCACAAAGCAGTTTCTGAGAATGCTTCAGTTTAGTTTTTCTGTGGAAATATTCCCGTTTCCAAAGAAATCTTCAAAGAGGTCCACGTATGCACTTACAGATTCTACAAAAAGACAGTTTCAAAACTGCTCCATCAAAAGGAGGGTTCAACTGTGTGACTTGAATGCA
This sequence comes from Homo sapiens, assembly GCF_000001405.40. Taxonomy (NCBI): domain Eukaryota; kingdom Metazoa; phylum Chordata; class Mammalia; order Primates; family Hominidae; genus Homo; species Homo sapiens. Next base: position 61,936,901 of record NC_000023.11, on the reverse strand, counting down.
ATCATCACTCAGAAGTTTCTGAGAATGCTTCTCTTTAGTTTTTACGTGAACATATACCCGTTTCGAACGAAGGCCACCCAGTGGTCCAAATATCCACTTGCAGATTCTACAGAAAGAGTGTTTCGAACCTGAACTCTCAAAGGCAGGTTCATCTCTGTTAGTTAAATGCATTCATCATGAAGAACTTTCTCAGAGTGTTTGTGTTTAGTTATGGGAAATTATTCCCGTTTCCAACGAAATCCTCAGAGAGCTCCAAATATCCACCTGCAGATTCTACCAAAAGTGTATTTGGAAACTGCTCCCATCTCAAAAGGCATGTTCAGCTCTGTGAGTGAAACTCCATCATCACAAAGAATATTCTGAGAATGCTTCCGTTTGCCTTTTATATGAAGTTCCTTCCTGTACTACCGTAGGCCTCAAAGCAGTCCAAATCTCCATTTGCAGATTCTATAAAAAGAGTGATTCCAATCTGCTCTATCAATAGGATTGTTCAACTCCATGAGTTGAATGCCATCCTCACAAAGTAGTTTCTGAGAATGCTTCTATCTGGTTTTTGTGTGAAGATATTTCCTTTTCCACCACAGGCCTCAAAGCCCTCCAAACGTCCACTTGCAGATTCTCGAAAAAGAGTGTTTCATAGCTGCTCTTTCAAAAGGAAAGTTCAACTCTGGGAGTTGAATACAAACATCACAAAATAGTTTCCGAGAATGCTTCTGTTTAGTTTTTATGTGAAGATGATCCCGTTTCCAGTGAAATCTTCAAAGAGGTCCACATATCCCCTTGCAGATTCCAAAGAAAGAGGGTTTCAAAACTGCTCCATCAGAAGGATTGTTCAACTCTGTGAGTTGAATGCAGTCATCGCAGAAAACTTTCTGAGAATGCTTCTGTCTAGGTTTGATGTGAAGATATAGACGTTTCAAACGAAGGCTACAAAGTGGTCAAAATATACACTTGCAGATTCTACTACAAGGGTGTTGCAAACCTGAACTATCAAAGGAAGGTTCAACTCTGTGAGTTGAATACAAACATCACAAAGAATGTTCTGAGTTTGTCCGTTCAGTTATGGGAAGTTGATCCCGTTTCCAACGAAATCCTCAGAGAGGTCCAAATATCCCCTTGCAGATTCTACAAAACGTGTGTTTGGAAACTGCTCCATCATAACGAATGTTCAGCTCCCTGAGTTAAACTCCATCGTCACAAAGAATTTTCTGAGAGTGCTACCGTCTGGTTTTTATATGAAGTTCTTTCGTTCACTACCACAGGCCTCAAAGCGGTCCAAATCTCCACTTGCAGATTCTACAAAAAGAGTGTTTGCAAACTGCTCTATCAAAAGGAATGTTCAACTCTGGGAGTTGAATGCAATCATCACAGAGCAGTTTCTGAGAATGCTTCTATGTCGTTTTTAGGAGAAGATATTTCCTTTTCCAACACAGTCCTCCAAGCCCGCTAAATAGCCACTTGCACATTGTAGAAAAAGTGTGTCAAAGCTGCGCTATCAAAGGGAAAGTTCAACTCTGTGAGGTGAATGCAAACATCCCAAAGAAGTTTCTGAGAATGCTTCCGTTTAGCTTTTAGGTGAAGATTATCCCGTTTCCAACGAAACCTTCAAAGAGGTCCAAATATCCCCTTGCGGATCCCACAGAAAGAGTGTTTCGAAACTGCTGTTTCAAAAGGAATCTTCAACTCTGTGAGTTGAATGCAATCATCACAAAGAAGTTTCTGACAATGCTTCTCTCTCGTCTTTCTGTGAAGATAAAGGAAAAGGCTTTCAGGCCTTTTCCACCACAGGCCTGAAAGCGCTCCAAATGTCCACTTGCAGATTCTGCGAAAAGAATATTTCAAAACTGCTCTATGAAAAGCAATGTTAAACTCTGTGGCTCGAACACAAACATCACAAAGCAGTTTCTGAGAATGATTCAGTTTAGTTTTTCTGTGGAAATATTCCCGTTTCCAAAGAAATCTTCAAAGAGGTCCACGTATCCACTTACAGATTCTACAAAAAGACAGTTTCAAAACTGCTCCATCAAAAGGAGGGTTCAACTGTGTGACTTGAATGCAATCATCACTCAGAAGTTTCTGAGAATGCTTCTCTTTAGTTTTTACGTGAACATATACCCGTTTCGAACGAAGGCCACCCAGTGGTCCAAATATCCACTTGCAGATTCTACAGAAAGAGTGTTTCGAACCTGAACTCTCAAAGGCAGGTTCATCACTGCGAGTTAAATGCATTCATCATGAAGAACTTTCTCAGCGTGTTTGTGTTTAGTTATGGGAAATTATTCCCGTTTCCAACGAAATCCTCAGAGAGCTCCAAATATCCACCTGCAGATTCTACCAAAAGTGTATTTGGAAACTGCTCCATCAAAAGGCATGTTCAGCTCTGTGAGTGAAACTCCATCATCACAAAGAATATTCTGAGAATGCTTCCGTTTGCCTTTTATATGAAGTTCCTTCCTATACTACCATAGGCCACAAAGCAGTCCAAATCTCCATTTGCAGATTCTACAAAAAGACTGATTCCAATCTGCTCTATCAATAGGATTGTTCAACTCCATGAGTTGAATGCCATCCTCACAAAGTCGTTTCTGAGAATGCTTCTATCTAGTTTTAATGTGAAGATATTTCCTTTTCCACCACAGGCCTCAAAGCCCTCCAAACGTCCGCTTGCAGATTCTCAAAAAAGAGTGTTTCATAGCTGCTCTTTCAAAAGGAAAGTTCAACTCTGGGAGTTGAATACAAACATCACAAAGTAGTTTCCGAGAATGCTTCTGTTTAGTTTTTATGTGAAGATGATCCCGTTTCCAGTGAAATCTTCAAAGAGGTCCACATATCCCCTTGCAGATTCCAAAGAAAGAGGGTTTCAAAACTGCTCCATCAGAAGGATTGTTCAACTCTGTGAGTTGAATGCAGTCATCGCAGAAAACTTTCTGAGAATGCTTCTGTCTAGGTTTGATGTGAAGATATAGACGTTTCAAACGAAGGCTACAAAGTGGTCAAAATATACACTTGCAGATTCTACTACAAGGGTGTTGCAAACCTGAACTATCAAAGGAAGGTTCAACTCTGTGAGTTGAATACAAACATCACAAAGAATGTTCTGAGTTTGCTTCCGTTCAGTTATGGGAAGTTGATCCCGTTTCCAACGAAATCCTCAGAGAGGTCCAAATATCCCCTTGCAGATTCTACAAAACGTGTGTTTGGAAACTGCTCCATCATAACGAATGTTCAGCTCCCTGAGTTAAACTCCATCGTCACAAAGAATTTTCTGAGAGTGCTACCGTCTGGTTTTTATATGAAGCTCTTTCCTTCACTACCACAGACCTCAAAGCGGTCCAAATCTCCACTTGCAGATTCTACAAAAAGAGTGTTTGCAAACTGCTCTATCAAAAGGAATGTTCAACTCTGGGAGTTGAATGCAATCATCACACAGCAGTTTCTGAGAATGCTTCTATGTCGTTTTTAGGAGAAGATATTTCCTTTTCCAACACAGTCCTCCAAGCCCGCTAAATAGCCACTTGCACATTGTAGAAAAAGTGTGTCAAAGCTGCGCTATCAAAGGGAAAGTTCAACTCTGTGAGGTGAATGCAAACATCCCAAAGAAGTTTCTGAGAATGCTTCCGTTTAGCTTTTAGGTGAAGATTATCCCGTTTCCAACGAAACCTTCAAAGAGGTCCAAATATCCCCTTGCGGATCCCACAGAAAGAGTGTTTCGAAACTGCTGTTTCAAAAGGAATCTTCAACTCTGTGAGTTGAATGCAATCATCACAAAGAAGTTTCTGACAATGCTTCTCTCTCGTCTTTCTGTGAAGATAAAGGAAAAGGCTTTCAGGCCTTTTCCACCACAGGCCTGAAAGCGCTCCAAATGTCCACTTGCAGATTCTGCGAAAAGAATATTTCAAAACTGCTCTATGAAAAGCAATGTTAAACTCTGTGGCTCGAACACAAACATCACAAAGCAGTTTCTGAGAATGCTTCAGTTTAGTTTTTCTGTGGAAATATTCCCGTTTCCAAAGAAATCTTCAAAGAGGTCCACGTATCCACTTACAGATTCTACAAAAAGACAGTTTCAAAACTGCTCCATCAAAAGGAGGGTTCAACTGTGTGACTTGAATGCAATCATCACTCAGAAGTTTTCTGAGAATGCTTCTCTTTAGTTTTTACGTGAACATATACCCGTTTCGAACGAAGGCCACCCAGTGGTCCAAATATCCACTTGCAGATTATACAGAAAGAGTGTTTCGAACCTGAACTCTCAAAGGCAGGTTCATCTCTGCGAGTTAAATGCATTCATCATGAAGAACTTTCTCAGAGTGTTTGTGTTTAGTTATGGGAAATTATTCCCGTTTCCAACGAAATCCTCAGAGAGCTCCAAATATCCACCTGCAGATTCTACCAAAAGTGTATTTGGAAACTGCTCCATCAAAAGGCATGTTCAGCTCTGTGAGTGAAACTCCATCATCACAAAGAATATTCTGAGAATGCTTCCGTTTGCCTTTTATATGAAGTTCCTTCCTGTACTACCGTAAGCCTCAAAGCAGTCCAAATCTCCATTTGCAGATTCTATAAAAAGAGTGATTCCAATCTGCTCTATCAATAGGATTGTTCAACTCCATGAGTTGAATGCCATCCTCACAAAGTAGTTTCTGAGAATGCTTCTATCTGGTTTTTGTGTGAAGATATTTCCTTTTCCACCACAGTCCTCAAAGCCCTCCAAACGTCCACTTGCAGATTCTCGAAAAAGAGTGTTTCATAGCTGCTCTTTCAAAAGGAAAGTTCAACTCTGGGAGTTGAATACAAACATCACAAAGTAGTTTCCGAGAATGCTTCCTGTTTAGTTTTTATGTGAAGATGATCCCGTTTCCAGTGAAATCTTCAAAGAGGTCCACATATCCCCTTGCAGATTCCAAAGAAAGAGGGTTTCAAAACTGCTCCATCAGAAGGATTGTTCAACTCTGTGAGTTGAATGCAGTCATCGCAGAAAACTTTCTGAGAATGCTTCTGTCTAGGTTTGATGTGAAGATATAGACGTTTCAAACGAAGGCTACAAAGTGGTCAAAATATACACTTGCAGATTCTACTACAAGGGTGTTGCAAACCTGAACTATCAAAGGAAGGTTCAACTCTGTGAGTTGAATACAAACATCACAAAGAATGTTCTGAGTTTGCTTCCAGTTCAGTTATGGGAAGTTGATCCCGTTTCCAACGAAATCCTCAGAGAGGTCCAAATATCCCCTCACAGATTCTACAAAACGTGTGTTTGGAAACTGCTCCATCATAACGAATGTTCAGCTCCCTGAGTTAAACTCCATCGTCACAAAGAATTTTCTGAGAGTGCTACCGTCTAGTTTTTATATGAAGTTCTTTCCTTTACTACCACAGGCCTCAAAGCGGTCCAAATCTCCACTTGCAGATTCTACAAAAAGAGTGTTTGCAAACTGCTCTATCAAAAGGAATGTTCAACTCTGGGAGTTGAATGCAATCATCACAGAGCAGTTTCTGAGAATGCTTCTATGTCGTTTTTAGGAGAAGATATTTCCTTTTCCAACACAGTCCTCCAAGCCCGCTACATATCCACTTGCACATTATAGAAAAAGTGTGTCGAAGCTGCGCTATCAAAGGGAAAGTTCAACTCTGTGAGGTGAATGCAAACATCCCAAAGAAGTTTCTGAGAATGCTTCCGTTTTGCTTTTAAGTGAAGATTATCCCGTTGGCAACGAAATCTTCAAAGAGGTCCAAATATCCCCTTGCGGATCCCACAGAAAGAGTGTTTCGAAACTGCTGTTTCAAAAGGAATCTTCAACTCTGTGAGTTGAATGCAATCATCACAAAGAAGTTTCTGACAATGCTTCTCTCTCGTCTTTCTGTGAAGATAAAGGAAAAGGCTTTCAGGCCTTTTCCACCACAGGCCTGAAAGTGCTCCAAATGTCCACTTGCAGATTCTGCCAAAAGAATATTTCAAAACTGCTCTATGAAAAGCAATGTTAAACTCTGTGGCTCGAACACAAACATCACAAAGCAGTTTCTGAGAATGCTTCAGTTTAGTTTTTCTGTGGAAATATTCCCGTTTCCAAAGAAATCTTCAAAGAGGTCCACACATCCACTTACAGATTCTACAAAAAGACAGTTTCAAAACTGCTCAATCAAAAGGAGGGTTCACCTGTGTGACTTGAATGCAATCATCACTCAGAAGTTTCTGAGAACGCTTCTCTTTAGTTTTTACGTGAACATATACCCGTTTCGAACGAAGGCCAGCCAGTGGTCCAAATATCCACTTGCAGATTCTACAGAAAGAGTGTTTCGAACCTGAACTCTCAAAGGCAGGTTCATCTCTGCGAGTTAAATGCATTCATCATGAAGAACTTTCTCAGAGTGTTTGTGTTTAGTTATGGGAAATTATTCCCGTTTCCAACGAAATCCTCCGACAGGTCCAAATATCCACCTGCAGATTCTACCAAAAGTGTATTTGGAAACTGCTCCATCAAAAGGCATGTTCAGCTCTGTGAGTGAAACTCCATCATGACAAAGAATATTCTGAGAATGCTTCCGTTTGCCTTTTATATGAAGTTCCTTCCTATACTACCGTAGGCCTCAAAGCAGTCCAAATCTCCATTTGCAGATTCTACAAAAAGAGTGATTCCAATCTGCTCTATCAATAGGATTGTTCAACTCCATGAGTTGAATGCCATCCTCACAAAGTCGTTTCTGAGAATGCTTCTATCTAGTTTTTATGGGAAGATATTTCCTTTTCCACCGCAGGCCTCAAAGCCCTCCAAACGTCCGCTTGCAGATTCTCGAAAAAGAGTGTTTCATAGCTGCTCTTTCAAAAGGAAAGTTCAACTCTGGGAGTTGAATACAAACATCACAAAGTAGTTTCCGAGAATGCTTCTGTTTAGTTCTTAAGTGAAGATGATCCCGTTTCCAGTGAAATCTTGAAAGAGGTCCACATATCCCCTTGCAGATTCCAAAGAAAGAGGGTTTCAAAACTGCTCCATCAAAAGGATTGCTCAACTCTGTGAGTTGAATGCAGTCATCGCAGAAAACTTTCTGAGAATGCTTCTGTCTAGGTTTGATGTGAAGATATAGACGTTTCAAACGAAGGCTACAAAGTGGTCAAAATATACACTTGCAGATTCTACTACAAGGGTGTTGCAAACCTGAACTATCAAAGGAAGGTTCAACTCTGTGAGTTGAATACAAACATCACAAAGAATGTTCTGAGTTTGCTTCCGTTCAGTTATGGGAAGTTGATCCCGTTTCCAACGAAATCCTCAGGAGAGGTCCAAATATCCCCTTGCAGATTCTACAAAACGTGTGTTTGGAAACTGCTCCATCATAACGAATGTTCAGCTCCCTGAGTTAAACTCCATCGTCACAAAGAATTTTCTGAGAGTGCTACCGTCTGGTTTTTATATGAAGTTCTTTCCTTCACTACCACAGGCCTCAAAGCGGTCCAAATCTCCACTTGCAGATTCTACAAAAAGAGTGTTTGCAAACTGCTCTATCAAAAGGAATGTTCAACTCTGGGAGTTGAATGCAATCATCACAGAGCAGTTTCTGAGAATGCTTCTATGTCGTTTTTAGGAGAAGATATTTCCTTTTCCAACACAGTCCTCCAAGCCCGCTAAATAGCCACTTGCACATTGTAGAAAAAGTGTGTCAAAGCTGCGCTATCAAAGGGAAAGTTCAACTCTGTGAGGTGAATGCAAACATCCCAAAGAAGTTTCTGAGAATGCTTCCGTTTAGCTTTTAGGTGAAGATTATCCCGTTTCCAACGAAACCTTCAAAGAGGTCCAAATATCCCCTTGCGGATCCCACAGAAAGAGTGTTTCGAAACTGCTGTTTCAAAAGGAATCTTCAACTCTGTGAGTTGAATGCAATCATCACAAAGAAGTTTCTGACAATGCTTCTCTCTCGTCTTCCTGTGAAGATAAAGGAAAAGGCTTTCAGGCCTTTTCCACCACAGGCCTGAAAGCGCTCCAAATGTCCACTTGCAGATTCTGCCAAAAGAATATTTCAAAACTGCTCTATGAAAAGCAATGTTAAACTCTGTGGCTCGAACACAAACATCACAAAGCAGTTTCTGAGAATGCTTCAGTTTAGTTTTTCTGTGGAAATATTCCCGTTTCCAAAGAAATCTTCAAAGAGGTCCACGTATCCACTTACAGATTCTACAAAAAGACAGTTTCAAAACTGCTCCATCAAAAGGAGGGTTCAACTGTGTGACTTGAATGCAATCATCACTCAGAAGTTTCTGAGAATGCTTCTCTTTAGTTTTTACGTGAACATATACGCGTTTCGAACGAAGGCCACCCAGTGGTCCAAATATCCACTTGCAGATTATACAGAAAGAGTGTTTCGAACCTGAACTCTCAAAGGCAGGTTCATCTCTGCGAGTTAAATGCATTCATCATGAAGAACTTTCTCAGAGTGTTTGTGTTTAGTTATGGGAAATTATTCCCGTTTCCAACGAAATCCTCAGGGAGCTCCAAATATCCACCTGCAGATTCTACCAAAAGTGTATTTGGAAACTGCTCCATCAAAAGGCATGTTCAGCTCTGTGAGTGAAACTCCATCATCACAAAGAATATTCTGAGAATGCTTCCGTTTGCCTTTTATATGAACTTCATTCCTGTACTACCGTAGGCCTCAAAGCAGTCCAAATCTCCATTTGCAGATTCTACAAAAAGAGTGATTCCAATCTGCTCTATCAATAGGATTGTTCAACTCCATGAGTTGAATGCCATCCTCACAAAGTAGTTTCTGAGAATGCTTCTATCTGGTTTTTGTGTGAAGATATTTCCTTTTCCACCACAGGCCTCAAAGCCCTCCAAACGTCCACTTGCAGATTCTCGAAAAAGAGTGTTTCATAGCTGCTCTTTCAAAAGGAAAGTTCAACTCTGGGAGTTGAATACAAACAACACAAAATAGTTTCCGAGAATGCTTCTGTTTAGTTTTTATGTGAAGATGATCCCGTTTCCAGTGAAATCTTCAAAGAGGTCCACATATCCCCTTGCAGATTCCAAAGAAAGAGGGTTTCAAAACTGCTCCATCAGAAGGATTGTTCAACTCTGTGAGTTGAATGCAGTCATCGCAGAAAACTTTCTGAGAATGCTTCTGTCTAGGTTTGATGTGAAGATATAGACGTTTCAAACGAAGGCTACAAAGTGGTCAAAATATACACTTGCAGATTCTACTACAAGGGTGTTGCAAACCTGAACTATCAAAGGAAGGTTCAACTCTGTGAGTTGAATACAAACATCACAAGGAATGTTCTGAGTTTGCTTCCGTTCAGTTATGGGAAGTTGATCCCGTTTCCAACGAAATCCTCAGAGAGGTCCAAATATCCCCTTGCAGATTCTACAAAACGTGTGTTTGGAAACTGCTCCATCATAACGAATGTTCAGCTCCCTGAGTTAAACTCCATCGTCACAAAGAATTTTCTGAGAGTGCTACCGTCTGTTTTTTATATGAAGTTCTTTCCTTCACTACCACAGGCCTCAAAGCGGTCCAAATCTCCACTTGCAGATTCTACAAAAAGAGTGTTTGCAAACTGCTCTATCAAAAGGAATGTTCAACTCTGGGAGTTGAATGCAATCATCACAGAGCAGTTTCTGAGAATGCTTCTATGTCGTTTTTAGGAGAAGATATTTCCTTTTCCAACACAGTCCTCCAAGCCCGCTAAATAGCCACTTGCACATTGTAGAAAAAGTGTGTCAAAGCTGCGCTATCAAAGGGAAAGTTCAACTCTGTGAGGTGAATGCAAACATCCCAAAGAAGTTTCTGAGAATGCTTCCGTTTAGCTTTTAGGTGAAGATTATCCCGTTTCCAACGAAAGCTTCAAAGAGGTCCAAATATCCCCTTGCGGATCCCACAGAAAGAGTGTTTCGAAACTGCTGTTTCAAAAGGAATCTTCAACTCTGTGAGTTGAATGCAATCATCACAAAGAAGTTTCTGACAATGCTTCTCTCTCGTCTTTCTGTGAAGATAAAGGAAAAGGCTTTCAGGCCTTTTCCACCACAGGCCTGAAAGCGCTCCAAATGTCCACTTGCAGATTCTGTGAAAAGAATATTGCAAAACTGCTCTATGAAAAGCAATGTTAAACTCTGTGGCTCGAACACAAACATCACAAAGCAGTTTCTGAGAATGCTTCAGTTTAGTTTTTCTGTGGAAATATTCCCGTTTCCAAAGAAATCTTCAAAGAGGTCCACGTGTCCACTTACAGATTCTACAAAAAGACAGTTTCAAAACTGCTCCATCAAAAGGAGGGTTCAACTGTGTGACTTGAATGCAATCATCACTCAGAAGTTTCTGAGAATGCTTCTCTTTAGTTTTTACGTGAACATATACCCGTTTCGAACGAAGGCCAGCCAGTGGTCCAAATATCCACTTGCAGATTCTACAGAAAGAGTGTTTCGAACCTGAACTCTCAAAGGCAGGTTCATCTCTGCGAGTTCAATGCATTCATCATGAAGAACGTTCTCAGCGTGTTTGTGTTTAGTTATGGGAAATTATTCCCGTTTCCAACGAAATCCTCAGAGAGCTCAAATATCCACCTGCAGATTCTACCAAAAGTGTATTTGGAAACTGCTCCATCAAAAGGCATGTTCAGCTCTGTGAGTGAAACTCCATCATCACACAAAATATTCTCAGAATGCTTCCGTTTGCCTTTTATATGAAGTTCCTTCCTGTACTACCGTAGGCCTCAAAGCAGTCCAAATGTCCATTTGCAGATTCTACAAAAAGAGTGATTCCAATCTGCTCTATCAATAGGATTGTTCAACTCCATGAGTTGAATGCCATCCTCACAAAGTCGTTTCTGAGAATGCTTCTATCTAGTTTTTATGTGAAGATATTTCCTTTTCCACCACAGGCCTCAAAGCCCTCCAAACGTCCACTTGCAGATTCTCGAAAAAGAGTGTTTCATAGCTACTCTTTCAAAAGGAAAGTTCAACTCTGGGAGTTGAATACAAACATCACAAAGTAGTTTCCGAGAATGCTTCTGTTTAGTTTTTATGTGAAGATGATCCCATTTCCATTGAAATCTTCAAAGAGGTCCACATATCCCCTTGCAGATTCCAAAGAAAGAGGGTTTCAAGACTGCTCCATCAAAAGGATTGCTCAACTCTGTGAGTTGAATGCAGTCATCGCAGAAAACTTTCTGAGAATGATTCTGTCTAGGTTTGATGTGAAGATATAGACGTTTCAAACGAAGGCTACAAAGTGGTCAAAATATACACTTGCAGATTCTACTACAAGGGTTTTGCCAACCTGAACTATCAAAGGAAGGTTCAACTCTGTGAGTTGAATACAAACATCACAAAGAATGTTCTGAGTTTGCTTCCGTTCAGTTATGGGAAGTTGATCCCGTTTCCAACGAAATCCTCAGAGAGGTCCAAATATCCCCTTGCAGATTCTACAAAACGTGTGTTTGGAAACTGCTCCATCATAACGAATGTTCAGCTCTCTGAGTTAAACTCCATCGTCACAAAGAATTTTCTGAGAGTGCTACCGTCTAGTTTTTATATGAAGTTCTTTCCTTTACTACCACAGGCCTCAAAGCGGTCCAAATCTCCACTTGCAGATTCTACAAAAAGAGTGTTTGCAAACTGCTCTATCAAAAGGAATGTTCAACTCTGGGAGTTGAATGCAATCATCACAGAGCAGTTTCTGAGAATGCTTCTATGTCGTTTTTAGGAGAAGATATTTCCTTTTCCAACACAGTCCTCCAAGCCCGCTACATATCCACTTGCACATTGTAGAAAAAGTGTGTCGAAGCTGCGCTATCAAAGGGAAAGTTCAACTCTGTGAGGTGAATGCAAACATCCCAAAGAAGTTTCTGAGAATGCTTCCGTTTTGCTTTTAAGTGAAGATTATCCCGTTGGCAACGAAATCTTCAAAGAGGTCCAAATATCCCCTTGCGGATCCCACAGAAAGAGTGTTTCGAAACTGCTGTTTCAAAAGGAATCTTCAACTCTGTGAGTTGAATGCAATCATCACAAAGAAGTTTCTGACAATGCTTCTCTCTCGTCTTTCTGTGAAGATAAAGGAAAAGGCTTTCAGGCCTTTTCCACCACAGGCCTGAAAGCGCTCCAAATGTCCACTTGCAGATTCTGTGAAAAGAATATTTGAAAACTGCTCTATGAAAAGCAATGTTAAACTCTGTGGCTCGAACACAAACATCACAAAGCAGTTTCTGAGAATGCTTCAGTTTAGTTTTTCTGTGGAAATATTCCCGTTTCCAAAGAAATCTTCAAAGAGGTCCACGTATCCACTTACAGATTCTACAAAAAGACAGTTTCAAAACTGCTCCATCAAAAGGAGGGTTCAACTGTGTGACTTGAATGCAATCATCACTCAGAAGTTTCTGAGAATGCTTCTCTTTAGTTTTTACGTGAACATATACCCGTTTCGAACGAAGGCCACCCAGTGGTCCAAATATCCACTTGCAGATTCTACAGAAAGAGTGTTTCGAACCTGAACTCTCAAAGGCAGGTTCATCTCTGCGAGTTAAATGCATTCATCATGAAGAACTTTCTCAGAGTGTTTGTGTTTAGTTATGGGAAATTATTCCCGTTTCCAACGAAATTCTCAGAGAGCTCCAAATATCCACCTGCAGATTCTACCAAAAGTGTATTTGGAAACTGCTCCATCAAAAGGCATGTTCAGCTCTGTGAGTGAAACTCCATCATCACAAAGAATATTCTGAGAATGCTTCCGTTTGCCTTTTATATGAAGTTCCTTCCTATACGACCGTAGGCCTCAAAGCAGTCCAAATCTCCATTTGCAGATTCTACAAAAAGAGTGATTCCAATCTGCTCTATCAATAGGATTGTTCAACTCCATGAGTTGAATGCCATCCTCACAAAGTCGTTTCTGAGAATGCTTCTATCTAGTTTTTATGTGAAGATATTTCCTTTTCCACCACAGGCCTCAAAGCCTTCCAAACGTCCACTTGCAGATTCTCGAAAAAGAGTGTTTCATAGCTGCTCTTTCAAAAGGAAAGTTCAACTCTGGGAGTTGAATACAAACATCACAAAGTAGTTTCCGAGAATGCTTCTGTTTAGTTTTTATGTGAAGATGATCCCGTTTCCAGTGAAATCTTCAAAGAGGTCCACATATCCCCTTGCAGATTCCAAAGAAAGAGGGTTTCAAAACTGCTCCATCAGAAGGATTGTTCAACTCTGTGAGTTGAATGCAGTCATCGCAGAAAACTTTCTGAGAATGCTTCTGTCTAGGTTTGATGTGAAGATATAGACGTTCAAACGAAGGCTACAAAGTGGTCAAAATATACACTTGCAGATTCTACTACAAGGGTGTTGCAAACCTGAACTATCAAAGGAAGGTTCAACTCTGTGAGTTGAATACAAACATCACAAAGAATGTTCTGAGTTTGCTTCCGTTCAGTTATGGGAAGTTGATCCCGTTTCCAACGAAATCCTCAGAGAGGTCCAAATATCCCCTCGCAGATTCTACAAAACGTGTGTTTGGAAACTGCTCCATCATAACGAATGTTCAGCTCCCTGAGTTAAACTCCATCGTCACAAAGAATTTTCTGAGAGTGCTACCGTCTGGTTTTTATATGAAGTTCTTTCCTTCACTACCACAGGCCTCAAAGCGGTCCAAATCTCCACTTGCAGATTCTACAAAAAGAGTGTTTGCAAACTGCTCTATCAAAAGGAATGTTCAACTCTGGGAGTTGAATGCAATCATCACAGAGCAGTTTCTGAGAATGCTTCTATGTCGTTTTTAGGAGAAGATATTTCCTTTTCCAACACAGTCCTCCAAGCCCGCTAAATATCCACTTGCACATTGTAGAAAAAGTGTGTCGAAGCTGTGCTATCAAAGGGAAAGGTCAACTCTGTGAGGTGAATGCAAACATCCCAAAGAAGTTTCTGAGAATGCCTCCGTTTAGCTTTTAGGTGAAGATTATCCCGTTTCCAACGAAACCTTCAAAGAGGTCCAAATATCCCCTTGCGGATCCCACAGAAAGAGTGTTTCGAAACTGCTGTTTCAAAAGGAATCTTCAACTCTGTGAGTTGAAAGCAATCATCACAAAGAAGTTTCTGACAATGCTTCTCTCTCGTCTTTCTGTGAAGATAAAGGAAAAGGCTTTCAGGCCTTTTCAACCACAGGCCTGAAAGCGCTCCAAATGTCCACTTGCAGATTCTGCCAAAAGAATATTTCAAAACTGCTCTATGAAAAGCAATGTTAAACTCTGTGGCTCGAACACAAACATCACAAAGCAGTTTCTGAGAATGCTTCAGTTTAGTTTTTCTGTGGAAATATTCCCGTTTCCAAAGAAATATTCAAAGAGGTCCACGTATCCACTTACAGATTCTACAAAAAGACAGTTTCAAAACTGCTCCATCAAAAGGAGGGTTCAACTGTGTGACTTGAATGTAATCATCACTCAGAAGTTTCTGAGAATGCTTCTCTTTAGTTTTTACGTGAACATATACCCGTTTCGAACGAAGGCCAGCCAGTGGTCCAAATATCCACTTGCAGATTCTACAGAAAGAGTGTTTCGAACCTGAACTCTCAAAGGCAGGTTCATCTCTGCGAGTTAAATGCATTCATCATGAAGAACTTTCTCAGAGTGTTTGTGTTTAGTTATGGGAAATTATTCCCTTTTCCAACGAAATCCTCAGAGAGCTCCAAATATCCACCTGCAGATTCTACCAAAAGTGTATTTGGAAACTGCTCCATCAAAAGGCATGTTCAGCTCTGTGAGTGAAACTCCATCATCACAAAGAATATTCTGAGAATGCTTCCGTTTGCCTTTTATATGAAGTTCCTTCCTATACTACCGTAGGCCTCAAAGCAGTCCAAATCTCCATTTGCAGATTCTACAAAAAGAGTGATTCCAATCTGCTCTATCAATAGGATTGTTCAACTCCATGAGTTGAATGCCATCCTCACAAAGTCGTTTCTGAGAATGCTTCTATCTAGTTTTTATGTGAAGATATTTCCTTTTCCACCACAGGCCTCAAAGCCCTCCAAACGTCCACTTGCAGATTCTCGAAAAAGAGTGTTTCATAGCTGCTCTTTCAAAAGGAAAGTTCAACTCTGGGAGTTGAATACAAACATCACAAAGTAGTTTCCGAGAATGCTTCTGTTTAGTTTTTATGTGAAGATGATCCCGTTTCCAGTGAAATCTTCAAAGAGGTCCACATATCCCCTTGCAGATTCCAAAGAAAGAGGGTTTCAAAACTGCTCCATCAGAAGGATTGTTCAACTGTGTGAGTTGAATGCAGTCATCGCAGAAAACTTTCTGAGAATGCTTCTGTCTAGGTTTGATGTGAAGATATAGACGTTTCAAACGAAGGCTACAAAGTGGTCAAAATATACACTTGCAGATTCTACTACAAGGGTGTTGCAAACCTGAACTATCAAAGGAAGGTTCAACTCTGTGAATTGAATACAAACATCACAAAGAATGTTCTGAGTTTGCTTCCGTTCAGTTATGGGAAGTTGATCCCGTTTCCAACGAAATCCTCAGAGAGGTCCAAATATCCCCTCGCAGATTCTACAAAACGTGTGTTTGGAAACTGCTCCATCATAACGAATGTTCAGCTCCCTGAGTTAAACTCCATCGTCACAAAGAATTTTCTGAGAGTGCTACCGTCTGGTTTTTATATGAAGTTCTTTCCTTCACTACCACAGGCCTCAAAGCGGTCCAAATCTCCACTTGCAGATTCTACAAAAAGAGTGTTTGCAAACTGCTCTATCAAAAGGAATGTTCAACTCTGGGAGTTGAATGCAATCATCACAGAGCAGTTTACTGAGAATGCTTCTATGTCGTTTTTAGGAGAAGATATTTCCTTTTCCAACACAGTCCTCCAAGCCCGCTAAATATCCACTTGCACATTGTAGAAAAAGTGTGTCGAAGCTGCGCTATCAAAGGGAAAGTTCAACTATGTGAGGTGAATGCAAACATCCCAAAGAAGTTTCTGAGAATGCTTCCGTTTAGCTTTTAGGTGAAGATTATCCCGTTTCCAACGAAATCTTCAAAGAGGTCCAAATATCCCCTTGCGGATCCCACAGAAAGAGTGTTTCGAAATTGCTGTTTCAAAAGGAATCTTCAACTCTGTGAGTTGAATGCAATCATCACAAAGAAGTTTCTGACAATGCTTCTCTCTCGTCTTTCTGTGAAGATAAAGGAAAAGGCTTTCAGGCCTTTTCCACCACAGGCCTGAAAGCGCTCCAAATGTCCACTTGCAGATTCTGCCAAAAGAATATTTCAAAACTGCTCTATGAAAAGCAATGTTAAACTCTGTGGCTCGAACACAAACATCACAAAGCAGTTTCTGAGAATGCTTCAGTTTAGTTTTTCTGTGGAAATATTCCCGTTTCCAAAGAAATCTTCAAAGAGGTCCACGTATCCACTTACAGATTCTACAAAAAGACAGTTTCAAAACTGCTCCATCAAAAGGAGGGTTCTACTGTGTGACTTGAATGCAATCATCACTCACAAGTTTCTGAGAATGCTTCTCTTTAGTTTTTACGTGAACATATACCCGTTTCGAACGAAGGCCACCCAGTGGTCCAAATATCCACTTGCAGATTCTACGGAAAGAGTGTTTCAAACCTGAACTCTCAAAGGCAGGTTCATCTCTGCGAGTTAAATGCATTCATCATGAAGAACTTTCTCAGAGTGTTTGTGTTTAGTTATGGGAAATTATTCCCGTTTCCAACGAAATCCTCAGAGAGCTCCAAATATCCACCTGCAGATTCTACCAAAAGTGTATTTGGAAACTGCTCCATCAAAAGGCATGTTCAGCTCTGTGAGTGAAACTCCATCATCACAAAGAATATTCTGAGAATGCTTCCGTTTGCCTTTTATCTGAAGTTCCTTCCTATACGACCGTAGGCCTCAAAGCAGTCCAAATCTCCATTTGCAGATTCTACAAAAAGAGTGATTCCAATCTGCTCTATCAATAGGATTGTTCAACTCCATGAGTTGAATGCCATCCTCACAAAGTAGTTTCTGAGAATGCTTCTATCTAGTTTTTGTGTGAAGATATTTCCTTTTCCACCACAGGCCTCAAAGCCCTCCAAACGTCCACTTGCAGATTCTCGAAAAAGAGTGTTTTATAGCTGCTCTTTCAAAAGGAAAGCTCAACTCTGGGAGTTGAATACAAACATCACAAAGTAGTTTCCGAGAATGCTTCTGTTTAGTTTTTATGTGAAGATGATCCCGTTTCCAGTGAAATCTTCAAAGAGGTCCACATATCCCCTTGCAGATTCCAAAGAAAGAGGGTTTCAAAACTGCTCCATCAGAAGGATTGTTCAACTCTGTGAGTTGAATGCAGTCATCGCAGAAAACTTTCTGAGAATGCTTCTGTCTAGTTTTGATGTGAAGATATAGACGTTTCAAACGAAGGCTACAAAGTGGTCAAAATATACACTTGCAGATTCTACTACAAGGGTGTTGCAAACCTGAACTATCAAAGGAAGGTTCAACTCTGTGAGTTGAATACAAACATCACAAAGAATGTTCTGAGTTTGCTTCCGTTCAGTTATGGGAAGTTGATCCCGTTTCCAACGAAATCCTCAGAGAGGTCCAAATATCCCCTCGCAGATTCTACAAAACGTGTGTTTGGAAACTGCTCCATCATAACGAATGTTCAGCTCCCTGAGTTAAACTCCATCGTCACAAAGAATTTTCTGAGAGTGCTACCGTCTGGTTTTTATATGAAGTTCTTTCCTTCACTACCACAGGCCTCAAAGCGGTCCAAATCTCCACTTGCAGATTCTACAAAAAGAGTGTTTGCAAACTGCTCTATCAAAAGGAATGTTCAACTCTGGGAGTTGAATGCAATCATCACAGAGCAGTTTCTGAGAATGCTTCTATGTCGTTTTTAGGAGAAGATATTTCCTTTTCCAACACAGTCCTCTAAGCCCGCTAAATAGCCACTTGCACATTGTAGAAAAAGTGTGTCAAAGCTGCGCTATCAAAGGGAAAGTTCAACTCTGTGAGGTGAATGCAAACATCCCAAAGAAGTTTCTGAGAATGCTTCCGTTTAGCTTTTAGGTGAAGATTATCCCGTTTCCAACGAAACCTTCAAAGAGGTCCAAATATCCCCTTGCGGATCCCACAGAAAGAGTGTTTCGAAACTGCTGTTTCAAAAGGAATCTTCAACTCTGTGAGTTGAATGCAATCATCACAAAGAAGTTTCTGACAATGCTTCTCTCTCGTCTTTCTGTGAAGATAAAGGAAAAGGCTTTCAGGCCTTTTCCACCACAGGCCTGAAAGCGCTCCAAATGTCCACTTGCAGATTCTGCCAAAAGAATATTTCAAAACTGCTCTATGAAAAGCAATGTTAAACTCTGTGGCTCGAACACAAACATCACAAAGCAGTTTCTGAGAATGCTTCAGTTTAGTTTTTCTGTGGAAATATTCCCGTTTCCAAAGAAATCTTCAAAGAGGTCCACGTATCCACTTACAGATTCTACAAAAAGACAGTTTCAAAACTGCTCCATCAAAAGGGAGGGTTCAACTGTGTGACTTGAATGCAATCATCACTCAGAAGTTTCTGAGAATGCTTCTCTTTAGTTTTTACGTGAACATATACCCGTTTCGAACGAAGGCCACCCAGTGGTCCAAATATCCACTTGCAGATTATACAGAAAGTGTGTTTCGAACCTGAACTCTCAAAGGCAGGTTCATCTCTGCGAGTTAAATGCATTCATCATGAAGAACTTTCTCAGCGTGTTTGTGTTTAGTTATGGGAAATTATTCCCGTTTCCAACGAAATCCTCAGAGAGCTCCAAATATCCACCTGCAGATTCTACCAAAAGTGTATTTGGAAACTGCTCCATCAAAAGGCATGTTCAGCTCTGTGAGTGAAACTCCATCATCACAAAGAATATTCTGAGAATGCTTCCCGTTTGCCTTTTATATGAAGTTCCTTCCTATACGACCGTAGGCCTCAAAGCAGTCCAAATCTCCATTTGCAGATTCTACAAAAAGAGTGATTCCAATCTGCTCTATCAATAGGATTGTTCAACTCCATGAGTTGAATGCCATCCTCACAAAGTCGTTTCTGAGAATGCTTCTATCTAGTTTTTATGTGAAGATATTTCCTTTTCCACCACAGGCCTCAAAGCCCTCCAAACGTCCACTTGCAGATTCTCGAAAAAGAGTGTTTCATAGCTGCTCTTTCAAAAGGAAAGTTCAACTCTGGGAGTTGAATACAAACATCACAAAGTAGTTTCCGAGAATGCTTCTGTTTAGTTCTTATGTGAAGATGATCCCGTTTCCAGTGAAATCTTCAAAGAGGTCCACATATCCCCTTGCAGATTCCAAAGAAAGAGGGTTTCAAAACTGCTCCATCAAAAGGATTGTTCACCTCTGTGAGTTGAATGCAGTCATCGCAGAAAACTTTCTGAGAATGGTTCTGTCTAGGTTTGATGTGAAGATATAGACGTTTCAAACGAAGGCTACAAAGTGGTCAAAATATACACTTGCAGATTCTACTACAAGGGTGTTGCAAACCTGAACTATCAAAGGAAGGTTCAACTCTGTGAGTTGAATTCAAACATCATAAAGAATGTTCTGAGTTTGCTTCCGTTCAGTTATGGGAAGTTGATCCCGTTTCCAACGAAATCCTCAGAGAGGTCCAAATATCCCCTCGCAGATTCTACAAAACGTGTGTTTGGAAACTGCTCCATCATAACGAATGTTCAGCTCCCTGAGTTAAACTACATCGTCACAAAGAATTTTCTGAGAGTGCTACCGTCTGGTTTTTATATGAAGTTCTTTCCTTCACTACCACAGGCCTCAAAGCGGTCTAAATCTCCACTTGCAGATTCTACAAAAAGAGTGTTTGCAAACTGCTCTATCAAAAGGAATGTTCAACTCTGGGAGTTGAATGCAATCATCACAGAGCAGTTTCTGAGAATGCTTCTATGTCGTTTTTAGGAGAAGATATTTCCTTTTCCAACACAGTCCTCCAAGCCCGCTAAATAGCCACTTGCACATTGTAGAAAAAGTGTGTCAAAGCTGCGCTATCAAAGGGAAAGTTCAACTCTGTGAGGTGAATGCAAACATCCCAAAGAAGTTTCTGAGAATGCTTCCGTTTAGCTTTTAGGTGAAGATTATCCCGCTTCCAACGAAACCTTCAAAGAGGTCCAAATATCCCCTTGCGGATCCCTCAGAAAGAGTGTTTCGAAACTGCTGTTTCAAAAGGAATCTTCAACTCTGTGAGTTGAATGCAATCATCACAAAGAAGTTTCTGACAATGCTTCTCTCTCGTCTTTCTGTGAAGATAAAGGAAAAGGCTTTCAGGCCTTTTCCACCACAGGCCTGAAAGCGCTCCAAATGTCCACTTGCAGATTCTGCCAAAAGAATATTTCAAAACTGCTCTATGAAAAGCAATGTTAAACTCTGTGGCTCGAACACAAACATCACAAAGCAGTTTCTGAGAATGCTTCAGTTTAGTTTTTCTGTGGAAATATTCCCGTTTCCAAAGAAATCTTCAAAGAGGTCCACGTATCCACTTACAGATTCTACAAAAAGACAGTTTCAAAACTGCTCCATCAAAAGGAGGGTTCAACTGTGTGACTTGAATGCAATCATCACTCAGAAGTTTCTGAGAATGCTTCTCTTTAGTTTTTACGGGAACATATACCCGTTTCAAACGAAGGCCAGCCAGTGGTCCAAATATCCACTTGCAGATTCTACAGAAAGAGTGTTTTGAACCTGAACTCTCAAAGGCAGGTTCATCTCTGAGAGTTCAATGCATTCATCATGAAGAACTTTCTCAGAGTGTTTGTGTTTAGTTATGGGAAATTATTCCCGTTTCCAACGAAATCCTCAGAGAGCTCCAAATATCCACCTGCAGATTCTACCAAAAGTGTATTTGGAAACTGCTCCATCAAAAGGCATGTTCAGCTCTGTGAGTGAAACTCCATCATCACAAAGAATATTCTGAGAATGCTTCCGTTTGCCTTTTATATGAAGTTCCTTCCTGTACTACCATAGGCCTCAAAGCAGTCCAAATCTCCATTTGCAGATTCTATAAAAAGAGTGATTCCAATCTGCTCTATCAATAGGATTGTTCAACTCCATGAGTTGAATGCCATCCTCACAAAGTAGTTTCTGAGAATGCTTCTATCTGGTTTTTGTGTGAAGATATTTCCTTTTCCACCACAGGCCTCAAAGCCCTCCAAACGTCCACTTGCAGATTCTCGAAAAAGAGTGTTTCATAGCTGCTCTTTCAAAAGGAAAGTTCAACTCTGGGAGTTGAATACAAACATCACAAAATAGTTTCCGAGAATGCTTCTGTTTAGTTTTTATGTGAAGATGATCCCGTTTCCAGTGAAATCTTCAAAGAGGTCCACATATCCCCTTGCAGATTCCAAAGAAAGAGGGTTTCAAAACTGCTCCATCAGAGGATTGTTCAACTCTGTGAGTTGAATGCAGTCATCGCAGAAAACTTTCTGAGAATGCTTCTGTCTAGGTTTGATGTGAAGATATAGACGTTTCAAACGAAGGCTACAAAGTGGTCAAAATATACACTTGCAGATTCTACTACAAGGGTGTTGCAAACCTGAACTATCAAAGGAAGGTTCAACTCTGTGAGTTGAATACAAACATCACAAAGAATGTTCTGAGTTTGCTTCCGTTCAGTTATGGGAAGTTGATCCCGTTTCCAACGAAATCCTCAGAGAGGTCCAAATATCCCCTTGCAGATTCTACAAAACGTGTGTTTGGAAACTGCTCCATCATAACGAATGTTCAGCTCCCTGAGTTAAACTCCATCGTCACAAAGAATTTTCTGAGAGTGCTACCGTCTGGTTTTTATATGAAGTTCTTTCCTTCACTACCACAGGCCTCAAAGCGGTCCAAATCTCCACTTGCAGATTCTACAAAAAGAGTGTTTGCAAACTGCTCTATCAAAAGGAATGTTCAACTCTGGGAGTTGAATGCAATCATCACAGAGCAGTTTCTGAGAATGCTTCTATGTCGTTTATAGGAGAAGATATTTCCTTTTCCAACACAGTCCTCCAAGCCCGCTAAATATCCACTTGCACATTGTAGAAAAAGTGTGTCAAAGCTGCGCTATCAAAGGGAAAGTTCAACTCTGAGAGGTGAATGCAAACATCCCAAAGAAGTTTCTGAGAGTGCTTCCGTTTAGCTTTTAGGTGAAGATTATCCCGTTTCCAACGAAACCTTCAAAGAGGTCCAAATATCCCCTTGCGGATCCCACAGAAAGAGTGTTTCGAAACTGCTGTTTCAAAAGGAATCTTCAACTCTGTGAGTTGAATGCAATCATCACAAAGAAGTTTCTGACAATGCTTCTCTCTCGTCTTTTTGTGAAGATAAAGGAAAAGGCTTTCAGGCCTTTTCCACCACAGGCCTGAAAGCGCTCCAAATGTCCACTTGCAGATTCTGCCAAAAGAATATTTCAAAACTGCTCTATGAAAAGCAATGTTAAACTCTGCGGCTCGAACACAAACATCACAAAGCAGTTTCTGAGAATGCTTCAGTTTAGTTTTTCTGTGGAAATATTCCCGTTTCCAAAGAAATCTTCAAAGAGGTCCACGCATCCACTTACAGATTCTACAAAAAGACAGTTTCAAAACTGCTCAATCAAAAGGAGGGTTCAACTGTGTGACTTGAATGCATTCATCACTCAGAAGTTTCTGAGAATGCTTCTCTTTAGTTTTTACGTGAACATATACCCGTTTCGAACGAAGGCCAGCCAGTGGTCCAAATATCCACTTGCAGATTCTACAGAAAGAGTGTTTTGAACCTGAACTCTCAAAGGCAGGTTCATCTCTGCGAGTTAAATGCATTCATCATGAAGAACTTTCTCAGCGTGTTTGTGTTTAGTTATGGGAAATTATTCCCGTTTCCAACGAAATCCTCAGAGAGCTCCAAATATCCACCTGCAGATTCTACCAAAAGTCTATTTGGAAACTGCTCCATCAAAAGGCATGTTCAGCTCTGTGAGTGAAACTCCATCATCACAAAGAATATTCTGAGAATGCTTCCGTTTGCCTTTTATATGAAGTTCCTTCCTATACTACCGTAGGCCTCAAAGCAGTCCAAATCTCCATTTGCAGATTCTACAAAAAGAGTGATTCCAATCTGCTCTATCAATATGATTGTTCAACTCCATGAGTTGAATGCCATCCTCACAAAGTAGTTTCTGAGAATGCTTCTATCTAGTTTTTATGTGAAGATATTTCCTTTTCCACCACAGGCCTCAAAGCCCTCCAAACGTCCACTTGCAGATTCTCGAAAAAGAGTGTTTCATAGCTGCTCTTTCAAAAGGAAAGTTCAACTCTGGGAGTTGAATACAAACATCACAAAGTAGTTTCCGAGAATGCTTCTGTTTAGTTCTTATGTGAAGATGATCCCGTTTCCAGTGAAATCTTCAAAGAGGTCCACATATCCCCTTGCAGATTCCAAAGAAAGAGGGTTTCAAAACTGCTCCATCAAAAGGATTGTTCAAATCTGTGAGTTGAATGCAGTCATCGCAGAAAACTTTCTGAGAATGCTTCTGTCTAGGTTTGATGTGAAGATATAGACGTTTCAAACGAAGGCTACAAAGTGGTCAAAATATACACTTGCAGATTCTACTACAAGGGTGATGCAAACCTCAACTATAAAAGGAAGGTTCAACTCTGTGAGTTGAATACAAACATCACAAAGAATGTTCTGAGTTTGCTTCCGTTCAGTTATGGGAAGTTGATCCCGTTTCCAACGAAATCCTCAGAGAGGTCCAAATATCCCCTTGCAGATTCTACAAAACGTGTGTTTGGAAACTGCTCCATCATAACGGATATTCAGCTCTCTGAGTTAAACTCCATCGTCACAAAGAATTTTCTGAGAGTGCTACCGTCTGGTTTTTATATGAAGTTGTTTCCTTTACTACCACAGGCCTCAAAGCGGTCCAAATCTCCACTTGCAGATTCTACAAAAAGAGTGTTTGCAAACTGCTCTATCAAAAGGAATGTTCAACTCTGGGAGTTGAATGCAATCATCACAGAGCAGTTTCTGAGAATGCTTCTATGTCGTTTTTAGGAGAAGATATTTCCTTTTCCAACACAGTCCTCCAAGCCCGCTAAATATCCACTTGCACATTGTAGAAAAAGTGTGTCGAAGCTGCGCTATCAAAGGGAAAGTTCAACTCTGTGAGGTGAATGCAAACATCCCAAAGAAGTTTCTGAGAATGCTTCCGTTTAGCTTTTAGGTGAAGATTATCCCGTTTCCAACGAAACCTTCAAAGAGGTCCAAATATCCCCTTGCGGATCCCACAGAAAGAGAGTTTCGAAACTGCTGTTTCAAAAGGAATCTTCAACTCTGTGAGTTGAATGCAATCATCACAAAGAAGTTTCTGACAATGCTTCTCTCTCGTCTTTCTGTGAAGATAAAGGAAAAGGCTTTCAGGCCTTTTCCACCACAGGCCTGAAAGCGCTCCAAATGTCCACTTGCAGATTCTGCCAAAAGAATATTTCAAAACTGCTCTATGAAAAGCAATGTTAAACTCTGCGGCTCGAACACAAACATCACAAAGCGGTTTCTGAGAATGCTTCAGTTTAGTTTTTCTGTGGAAATATTCCCGTTTCCAAAGAAATCTTCAAAGAGGTCCACGTATCCACTTACAGATTCTACAAAAAGACAGTTTCAAAACTGCTCCATCAAAACGAGGGTTCAACTGTGTGACTTGAATGCAATCATCACTCAGAAGTTTCTGAGAATGCTTCTCTTTAGTTTTTACGTGAACATATACCCGTTTCGAACGAAGGCCACCCAGTGGTCCAAATATCCACTTGCAGATTCTACAGAAAGAGTGTTTCGAACCTGAACTCTCAAAGGCAGGTTCATCACTGCGAGTTAAATGCATTCATCATGAAGAAATTTCTCAGCGTGTTTGTGTTTAGTTATGGGAAATTATTCCCGTTTCCAACGAAATCCTCAAAGAGCTCCAAATATCCACCTGCAGATTCTACCAAAAGTGTATTTGGAAACTGCTCCATCAAAAGGCATGTTCAGCTCTGTGAGTGAAACTCCATCATCACAAAGAATATTCTGAGAATGCTTCCGTTTGCCTTTTATATGAAGTTCCTTCCTATACGACCGTAGGCCTCAAAGCAGTCCAAATCTCCATTTGCAGATTCTACAAAAAGAGTGATTCCAATCTGCTCTATCAATAGGATTGTTCAACTCCATGAGTTGAATGCCATCCTCACAAAGTAGTTTCTGAGAATGCTTCTATCTAGTTTTTATGTGAAGATATTTCCTTTTCCACCACAGGCCTCAAAGCCCTCCAAACGTCAACTTGCAGATTCTCGAAAAAGAGTGTTTCATAGCCGCTCTTTCAAAAGGAAAGTTCAACTCTGGGAGTTGAATACAAACATCACAAAGTAGTTTCCGAGAATGCTTCTGTTTAGTTCTTATGTGAAGATGATCCCGTTTCCAGTGAAATCTTCAAAGAGGTCCACATATCCCCTTGCAGATTCCAAAGAAAGAGGGTTTCAAAACTGCTCCATCGAAAGGATTGTTCAACTCTGTGAGTTGAATGCAGTCATCGCAGAAAACTTTCTGAGAATGCTTCTGTCTAGGTTTGATGTGAAGATATAGACGTTTCAAACGAAGGCTACAAAGTGGTCAAAATATACACTTGCAGATTCTACTACAAGGGTGTTGCAAACCTGAACTATCAAAGGAAGGTTCAACTCTGTGAATTGAATACAAACATCACAAAGAATGTTCTGAGTTTGCTTCCGTTCAGTTATGGGAAGTTGATCCCGTTTCCAACGAAATCCTCAGAGAGGTCCAAATATCCCCTCGCAGATTCTACAAAACGTGTGTTTGGAAACTGCTCCATCATAACGAATGTTCAGCTCCCTGAGTTAAACTCCATCGTCACAAAGAATTTTCTGAGAGTGCTACCGTCTGGTTTTTATATGAAGTTCTTTCCTTCACTACCACAGGCCTCAAAGCGGTCCAAATCTCCACTTGCAGATTCTACAAAAAGAGTGTTTGCAAACTGCTCTATCAAAAGGAATGT
Organism: Homo sapiens; assembly: GCF_000001405.40. Lineage (NCBI taxonomy): Eukaryota > Metazoa > Chordata > Mammalia > Primates > Hominidae > Homo > Homo sapiens. The sequence goes on along the minus strand of NC_000023.11, from coordinate 61,910,874 downwards.
TCAACTCCTGGGAGTTGAATGCAATCATCACAGAGCAGTTTCTGAGAATGCTTCTATGTCGTTTTTAGGAGAAGATATTTCCTTTTCCAACACAGTCCTCCACGCCCGCTAAATATCCACTTGCACATTGTAGAAAAAGTGTGTCAAAGCTGCGCTATCAAAGGGAAAGTTCAACTCTGTGAGGTGAATGCAAACATCCCAAAGAAGTTTCTGAGAGTGCTTCCGTTTAGCTTTTAGGTGAAGATTATCCCGTTTCCAACGAAACCTTCAAAGAGGTCCAAATATCCCCTTGCGGATCCCACAGAAAGAGTGTTTCGAAACTGCTGTTTCAAAAGGAATCTTCAACTCTGTGAGTTGAATGCAATCATCACAAAGAAGTTTCTGACAATGCTTCTCTCTCGTCTTTCTGTGAAGATAAAGGAAAAGGCTTTCAGGCCTTTTCCACCACAGGCCTGAAAGCGCTCCAAATGTCCACTTGCAGATTCTGCCAAAAGAATATTTCAAAACTGCTCTATGAAAAGCAATGTTAAACTCTGTGGCTCGAACACAAACATCACAAAGCAGTTTCTGAGAATGCTTCAGTTTAGTTTTTCTGTGGAAATATTCCCGTTTCCAAAGAAATCTTCAAAGAGGTCCACGTATCCACTTACAGATTCTACAAAAAGACAGTTTCAAAACTGCTCCATCAAAAGGAGGGTTCAACTGTGTTACTTGAATGCAATCATCACTCAGAAGTTTCTGAGAACGCTTCTCTTTAGTTTTTACGTGAACATATACCCGTTTCGAACGAAGGCCACCCAGTGGTCCAAATATCCACTTGCAGATTCTACAGAAAGAGTGTTTCGAACCTGAACTCTCAAAGGCAGGTTCATCTCTGCGAGTTAAATGCATTCATCATGAAGAACTTTCTCAGAGTGTTTGTGTTTAGTTATGGGAAATTATTCCCGTTTCCAACGAAATCCTCAGAGAGCTCCAAATATCCACCTGCAGATTCTACCAAAAGTGTATTTGGAAACTGCTCCATCAAAAGGCATGTTCCGCTCTGTGAGTGAAACTCCATCATCACAAAGAATATTCTGAGAATGCTTCCCGTTTGCCTTTTATATGAAGTTCCTTCCTGTACTACCGTAGGCCTCAAAGCAGTCCAAATCTCCATTTGCAGATTCTATAAAAAGAGTGATTCCAATCTGCTCTATCAATAGGATTGTTCAACTCCATGAGTTGAATGCCATCCTCACAAAGTAGTTTCTGAGAATGCTTCTATCTAGTTTTTATGTGAAGATATTTCCTTTTCCACCACAGGCCTCAAAGCCCTCCAAACGTCCACTTGCAGATTCTCGAAAAAGAGTGTTTCATAGCTGCTCTTTCAAAAGGAAAGTTCAACTCTGGGAGTTGAATACAAACATCACAAAGTAGTTTCCGAGAATGCTCTGTTTAGTTTTTATGTGAAGATGATCCCGTTTCCAGTGAAATCTTCAAAGAGGTCCACATATCCCCTTGCAGATTCCAAAGAAAGAGGGTTTCAAAACTGCTCCATCAGAAGGATTGTTCAACTCTGTGAGTTGAATGCAGTCATCGCAGAAAACTTCTGAGAATGCTCTCTGTCTAGGTTTGATGTGAAGATATAGACGTTTCAAACGAAGGCTACAAAGTGGTCAAAATATACACTTGCAGATTCTACTACAAGGGTGTTGCAAACCTGAACTATCAAAGGAAGGTTCAACACTGTGAGTTGAATACAAACATCACAAAAAATGTTCTGAGTTTGCTTCCGTTCAGTTATGGGAAGTTGATCCCGTTTCCAACGAAATCCTCAGAGAGGTCCAAATATCCCCTTGCAGATTCTACAAAACGTGTGTTTGGAAACTGCTCCATCATAACGAATGTTCAGCTCCCTGAGTTAAACTCCATCGTCACAAAGAATTTTCTGAGAGTGCTACCGTCTGGTTTTTATATGAAGTTCTTTCCTTCACTACCACAGACCTCAAAGCGGTCCAAATCTCCACTTGCAGATTCTACAAAAAGAGTGTTTGCAAACTGCTCTATCAAAAGGAATGTTCAACTCTGGGAGTTGAATGCAATCATCACAGAGCAGTTTCTGAGAATGCTTCTATGTCGTTTTTAGGAGAAGATATTTCCTTTTCCAACACAGTCCTCCAAGCCCGTTAAATAGCCACTTGCACATTGTAGAAAAAGTGTGTCAAAGCTGCGCTATCAAAGGGAAAGTTCAACTCTGTGAGGTGAATGCAAACATCCCAAAGAAGTTTCTGAGAATGCTTCCGTTTAGCTTTTAGGTGAAGATTATCCCGTTTCCAACGAAACCTTCAAAGAGGTCCAAATATCCCCTTGCGGATCCCACAGAAAGAGTGTTTCGAAACTGCTGTTTCAAAAGGAATCTTCAACTCTGTGAGTTGAATGCAATCATCACAAAGAAGTTTCTGACAATGCTTCTCTCTCGTCTTTCTGTGAAGATAAAGGAAAAGGCTTTCAGGCCTTTTCCACCGCAGGCCTGAAAGCGCTCCAAATGTCCACTTGCAGATTCTGCTAAAAGAATATTTCAAAACTGCTCTATGAAAAGCAATGTTAAACTCTGCGGCTCGAACACAAACATCACAAAGCAGTTTCTGAGAATGCTTCAGTTTAGTTTTTCTGTGGAAATATTCCCGTTTCCAAAGAAATCTTCAAAGAGGTCCACGCATCCACTTACAGATTCTACAAAAAGACAGTTTCAAAACTGCTCAATCAAAAGGAGGGTTCAACTGTGTGACTTGAATGCAATCATCACTCAGAAGTTTCTGAGAACGCTTCTCTTTAGTTTTTACGTGAACGTATACCCGTTTCGAACGAAGGCCAGCCAGTGGTCCAAATATCCACTTGCAGATTCTACAGAAAGAGTGTTTCGAACCTGAACTCTCAAAGGCAGGTTCATCTCTGCGAGTTCAATGCATTCATCATGAAGAACTTTCTCAGCGTGTTTGTGTTTAGTTATGGGAAATTATTCCCGTTTCCAACGAAATCCTCAGAGAGCTCCAAATATCCACCTGCAGATTCTACCAAAAGTGTATTTGGAAACTGCTCCATCAAAAGGCATGTTCAGCTCTGTGAGTGAAACTCCATCATCACAAAGAATATTCTGAGAATGCTTCCGTTTGCCTTTTATATGAAGTTCCTTCCTATACTACCGTAGGCCTCAAAGCAGTCCAAATCTCCATTTGCAGATTCTACAAAAAGAGTGATTCCAATCTGCTCTATCAATAGGACTGTTCAACTCCATGAGTTGAATGCCATCCTCACAAAGTCGTTTCTGAGAATACTTCTATCTAGTTTTTATGTGAAGATATTTCCTTTTCCACCACAGGCCTCAAAGCCCTCCAAACGTCCACTTGCAGATTCTCGAAAAAGAGTGTTTCATAGCTGCTCTTTCACAAGGAAAGTTCAACTCTGGGAGTTGAATACAAACATCACAAAGTAGTTTGTGAGAATGCTTCTGTTTAGTTCTTATGTGAAGATGATCCCGTTTCCAGTGAAATCTTCAAAGAGGTCCACATATCCCCTTGCAGATTCCAAAGAAAGAGGGTTTCAAAACTGCTCCATCAAAAGGATTGTTCAACTCTGTGAGTTGAATGCAGTCATCGCAGAAAACTTTCTGAGAATGCTTCTGTCTAGGTTTGAGGTGAAGATATAGACGTTTCAAACGAAGGCTACAAAGTGGTCAAAATATACACTTGCAGATTCTACTACAAGGGTGTTGCAAGCCTGAACTATCAAAGGAAGGTTCAACTCTGTGAGTTGAATACAAACATCACAAAGAATGTTCTGAGTTTGCTTCCGTTCAGTTATGGGAAGTTGATCCCGTTTCCAACGAAATCCTCAGAGAGGTCCAAATATCCCCTTGCAGATTCTACAAAACGTGTGTTTGGAAACTGCTCCATCATAACGAATGTTCAGCTCTCTGAGTTAAACTCCATCGTCACAAAGAATTTTCTGAGAGTGCTACCGTCTAGTTTTTATAGGAAGTTCTTTCCTTTACTACCACAGGCCTCAAAGCGGTCCAAATCTCCACTTGCAGATTCTACAAAAAGAGTGTTTGCAAACTGCTCTATCAAAAGGAATGTTCAACTCTGGGAGTTGAATGCAATCATCACAGAGCAGTTTCTGAGAATGCTTCTATGTCGTTTTTAGGAGAAGATATTTCCTTTTCCAACACAGTCCTCCAAGCCCGCTAAATATCCACTTGCACATTGTAGAAAAAGTGTGTCGAAGCTGCGCTATCAAAGGGAAAGTTCAACTCTGTGAGGTGAATGCAAACATCCCAAAGAAGTTTCTGAGAATGCTTCCGTTTAGCTTTTAGGTGAAGATTATCCCGTTTGCAACGAAATCTTCAAAGAGGTCCAAATATCCCCTTGCGGATCCCACAGAAAGAGTGTTTCGAAACTGCTGTTTCAAAAGGAATCTTCAACTCTGTGAGTTGAATGCAATCATCACAAAGAAGTTTCTGACAATGCTTCTCTCTCATCTTTCTGTGAAGATAAAGGAAAAGGCTTTCAGGCCTTTTCCACCACAGGCCTGAAAGCGCTCCAAATGTCCACTTGCAGATTCTGCCAAAAGAATATTTCAAAACTGCTCTATGAATAGCAATGTTAAATTCTGCGGCTCGAACACAAACATAACAAAGCAGTTTCTGAGAATGCTTCAGTTTAGTTTTTCTGTGGAAATATTCCCGTTTCCAAAGAAATCTTCAAAGAGGTCCACGCATCCACTTACAGATTCTACAAAAAGACAGTTTCAAAACTGCTCAATCAAAAGGAGGGTTCAACTGTGTGACTTGAATGCAATCATCACTCAGAAGTTTCTGAGAATGCATCTCTTTAGTTTTTACGTGAACATACACTCGTTTCGAACGAAGGCCAGCCAGTGGTCCAAATATCCACTTGCAGATTCTACAGAAAGAGTGTTTCGAACCTGAACTCTCAAAGGCAGGTTCATCTCTGCGAGTTAAATGCATTCATCATGAAGAACTTTCTCAGAGTGTTTGTGTTTAGTTATGGGAAATTATTCCTGTTTCCAACGAAATCCTCAGAGAGGTCCAAGTATCCACCTGCAGATTCTACCAAAAGTGTATTTGGAAACTGCTCCATCAAAAGGCATGTTCAGCTCTGTGAGTGAAACTCCATCATCACAAAGAATATTCTGAGAATGCTTCCGTTTGCCTTTTATATGAAGTTCCTTCCTATACTACCGTAGGCCTCAAAGCAGTCCAAATCTCCATTTGCAGATTCTACAAAAAGAGTGATTCCAATCTGCTCTATCAATAGGACTGTTCAACTCCATGAGTTGAATGCCATCCTCACAAAGTAGTTTCTGAGAATGCTTCTATCTAGTTTTTATGTGAAGATATTTCCTTTTCCACCACAGGCCTCAAAGCCTTCCAAACGTCCACTTGCAGATTCCCGAAAAAGAGTGTTTCATAGCTGCTCTTTCAAAAGGAAAGTTCAACTCTGGGAGTTGAATACAAACATCACAAAGTAGTTTCCGAGAATGCTTCTGTTTAGTTTTTATGTGAAGATGATCCCGTTTCCAGTGAAATCTTCAAAGAGGTCCACATATCCCCTTGCAGATTCCAAAGAAAGAGGGTTTCAAAACTGCTCCATCAGAAGGATTGTTCAACTCTGTGAGTTGAATGCAGTCATCGCAGAAAACTTTCTGAGAATGCTTCTGTCTAGGTTTGATGTGAAGATATAGACGTTTCAAACGAAGGCTACAAAGTGGTCAAAATATACACTTGCAGATTCTACTACAAGGGTGTTGCAAACCTGAACTATCAAAGGAAGGTTCAACTCTGTGAGTTGAATACAAACATCACAGAGAATGTTCTGAGTTTGCTTCCGTTCAGTTATGGGAAGTTGATCCCGTTTCCAACGAAATCCTCAGAGAGGTCCAAATATCCCCTCGCAGATTCTACAAAACGTGTGTTTGGAAACTGCTCCATCATAACGAATGTTCAGCTCCCTGAGTTAAACTCCATCGTCACAAAGAATTTTCTGAGAGTGCTACCGTCTGGTTTTTATATGAAGTTCTTTCCTTCACTACCACAGGCCTCAAAGCGGTCCAAATCTCCACTTGCAGATTCTACAAAAAGAGTGTTTGCAAACTGCTCTATCAAAAGGAATGTTCAACTCTGGGAGTTGAATGCAATCATCACAGAGCAGTTTCTGAGAATGCTTCTATGTCGTTTTTAGGAGAAGATATTTCCTTTTCCAACACAGTCCTCCAAGCCCGCTAAATAGCCACTTGCACATTGTAGAAAAAGTGTGTCAAAGCTGCGCTATCAAAGGGAAAGTTCAACTCTGTGAGGTGAATGCAAACATCCCAAAGAAGTTTCTGAGAATGCTTCCCGTTTAGCTTTTAGGTGAGGATTATCCCGTTTCCAACGAAACCTTCAAAGAGGTCCAAATATCCCCTTGCGGATCCCACAGAAAGAGTGTTTCGAAACTGCTGTTTCAAAAGGAATCTTCAACTCTGTGAGTTGAATGCAATCATCACAAAGAAGTTTCTGACAATGCTTCTCTCTCGTCTTTCTGTGAAGATAAAGGAAAAGGCTTTCAGGCCTTTTCCACCACAGGCCTGAAAGCGCTCCAAATGTCCACTTGCAGATTCTGCGAAAAGAATATTTCAAAACTGATCTATGAAAAGCAATGTTAAACTCTGTGGCTCGAACACAAACATCACAAAGCAGTTTCTGAGAATGCTTCAGTTTAGTTTTTCTGTGGAAATATTCCCGTTTCAAAGAAATCTTCAAAGAGGTCCACGTATCCACTTACAGATTCTACAAAAAGACAGTTTCAAAACTGCTCCATCAAAAGGAGGGTTCAACTGTGTGACTTGAATGCAATCATCACTCAGAAGTTTCTGAGAATGCTTCTCTTTAGTTTTTACGTGAACATATACCCGTTTCGAACGAAGGCCACCCAGTGGTCCAAATATCCACTTGCAGATTCTACAGAAAGAGTGTTTCGAACCTGAACTCTCAAAGGCAGGTTCATCTCTGCGAGTTAAATGCATTCATCATGAAGAACTTTCTCAGAGTGTTTGTGTTTAGTTATGGGGAATTGTTCCCGTTTCCAACGAAATCCTCAGAGAGCTCCAAATATCCACCTGCAGATTCTACCAAAAGTGTATTTGGAAACTGCTCCATCAAAAGGCATGTTCAGCTCTGTGAGTGAAACTCCATCATCACAAAGAATATTCTGAGAATGCTTCCGTTTGCCTTTTATATGAAGTTCCTTCCTGTACTACCGTAGGCCTCAAAGCAGTCCAAATCTCCATTTGCAGATTCTATAAAAAGAGTGATTCCAATCTGCTCTATCAATAGGATTGTTCAACTCCATGATTTGAATGCCATCCTCACAAAGTAGTTTCTGAGAATGCTTCTATCTGGTTTTTGTGTGAAGATATTTCCTTTTCCACCACAGGCCTCAAAGCCCTCCAAACGTCCACTTGCAGATTCTCGAAAAAGAGTGTTTCATAGCTGCTCTTTCAAAAGGAAAGTTCAACTCTGGGAGTTGAATGCAAACATCACAAAATAGTTTCCGAGAATGCTTCTGTTTAGTTTTTATGTGAAGATGATCCCGTTTCCAGTGAAATCTTCAAAGAGGTCCACATATCCCCTTGCAGATTCCAAAGAAAGAGGGTTTCAAAACTGCTCCATCAGAAGGATTGTTCAACTCTGTGAGTTGAATGCAGTCATCGCAGAAAACTTTCTGAGAATGCTTCTGTCTAGGTTTGATGTGAAGATATAGACGTTTCAAACGAAGGCTACAAAGTGGTCAAAATATACACTTGCAGATTCTACTACAAGGGTGTTGCAAACCTGAACTATCAAAGGAAGGTTCAACTCTGTGAGTTGAATACAAACATCACAAAGAATGTTCTGAGTTTGCTTCCGTTCAGTTATGGGAAGTTGATCCCGTTTCCAACGAAATCCTCAGAGAGGTCCAAATATCCCCTTGCAGATTCTACAAAACGTGTGTTTGGAAACTGCTCCATCATAACGAATGTTCAGCTCCCTGAGTTAAACTCCATCGTCACAAAGAATTTTCTGAGAGTGCTACCGTCTGGTTTTTATATGAAGTTCTTTCCTTCACTACCACAGGCGTCAAAGCGGTCCAAATCTCCACTTGCAGATTCTACAAAAAGAGTGTTTGCAAACTGCTCTATCAAAAGGAATGTTCAACTCTGGGAGTTGAATGCAATCATCACAGAGCAGTTTCTGAGAATGCTTCTATGTCGTTTTTAGGAGAAGATATTTCCTTTTCCAACACAGTCCTCCAAGCCCGCTAAATAGCCACTTGCACATTGTAGAAAAAGTGTGTCAAAGCTGCGCTATCAAAGGGAAAGTTCAACTCTGTGAGGTGAATGCAAACATCCCAAAGAAGTTTCTGAGAATGCTTCCGTTTAGCTTTTAGGTGAAGATTATCCCGTTTCCAACGAAACCTTCAAAGAGGTCCAAATATCCCCTTGCGGATCCCACAGAAAGAGTGTTTCGAAACTGCTGTTTCAAAAGGAATCTTCAACTCTGTGAGTTGAATGCAATCATCACAAAGAAGTTTCTGACAATGCTTCTCTCTCGTCTTTCTGTGAAGATAAAGGAAAAGGCTTTCAGGCCTTTTCCACCACAGGCCTGAAAGCGCTCCAAATGTCCACTTGCAGATTCTGCGAAAAGAATATTTCAAAACTGCTCTATGAAAAGCAATGTTAAACTCTGTGGCTCGAACACAAACATCACAAAGCGGTTTCTGAGAATGCTTCAGTTTAGTTTTTCTGTGGAAATATTCCCGTTTCCAAAGAAATCTTCAAAGAGGTCCACGTATCCACTTACAGATTCTACAAAAAGACAGTTTCAAAACTGCTCCATCAAAAGGAGGGTTCAACCGTGTGACTTGAATGCAATCATCACTCAGAAGTTTCTGAGAATGCTTCTCTTTAGTTTTTACGTGAACATATAACCTTTTCGAACCAAGGCCAGCCAGTGGTCCAAATATCCACTTGCAGATTCTACAGAAAGAATGTTTCGAACCTGAACTCTCAAAGGCAGGTTCATCTCTGCGAGTTAAATGCATTCATCATGAAGAACTTTCTCAGAGTGTTTGTGTTTAGTTATGGGAAATTATTCCCGTTTCCAACGAAATCCTCAGAGAGCTCCAAATATCCACCTGCAGATTCTACCAAAAGTGTATTTGGAAACTGCTCCATCAAAAGGCATGTTCAGCTCTGTGAGTGAAACTCCATCATCACAAAGAATATTCTGAGAATGCTTCCGTTTGCCTTTTTATGAAGTTCCTTCCTATACTACCGTAGGCCTCAAAGCAGTCCAAATCTCCATTTGCAGATTCTACAAAAAGAGTGATTCCAATCTGCTCTATCAATAGGATTGTTCAACTCCATGAGTTGAATGCCATCGTCACAAAGTAGTTTCTGAGAATGCTTCTATCTAGTTTTTATGTGAAGATATTTCCTTTTCCACCACAGGCCTCAAAGCCCTCCAAACGTCCACTTGCAGATTCTCGAAAAAGTGTGTTTCATAGCTGCTCTTTCAAAAGGAAAGTTCAACTCTGGGAGCTGAATACAAACATCACAAAGTAGTTTCCGAGAATGCTTCTGTTTAGTTCTTATGTGAAGATGATCCCGTTTCCAGTGAAATCTTCAAAGAGGTCCACATATCCCCTTGCAGATTCCAAAGAAAGAGGGTTTCAAAACTGCTCCATCAAAAGGATTGTTCAACTCTGTGAGTTGAATACAGTCATCGCAGAAAACTTTCTGAGAATGCTTCTGTCTAGGTTTGATGTGAAGATATAGACGTTTCAAACGAAGGCTACAAAGTGGTCAACATATACACTTGCAGATTCTACTACAAGGGTGATGCAAACCTGAACTATCAAAGGAAGGTTCAACTCTGTGAGTTGAATACAAACATCACAAAGAATGTTCTGAGTTTGCTACCGTTCAGTTATGGGAAGTTGATCCCGTTTCCAACGAAATCCTCAGAGAGGTCCAAATATCCCCTTGCAGATTCTACAAAACGTGTGTTTGGAAACTGCTCCATCATAACGAATGTTCAGCTCTCTGAGTTAAACTCCATCGTCACAAAGAATTTTCTGAGAGTGCTACCGTCTAGTTTTTATATGAAGTTCTTTCCTTTACTACCACAGGCCTCAAGGCGGTCCAAATCTCCACTTGCAGATTCTACAAAAAGAGTGTTTGCAAACTGCTCTATCAAAAGGAATGTTCAACTCTGGGAGTTGAATGCAATCATCACAGAGCAGTTTCTGAGAATGCTTCTATGTCGTTTTTAGGAGAAGATACTTCCTTTTCCAACACAGTCCTCGAAGCCCGCTAAATATCCACTTGCACATTGTAGAAAAAGTGTGTCGAAGCTGCGCTATCAAAGGGAAAGTTCAACTCTGTGAGGTGAATGCAAACATCCCAAAGAAGTTTCTGAGAATGCTTCCGTTTAGCTTTTAGGTGAAGATTATCCCGTTTCCAACGAAATCTTCAAAGAGGTCCAAATATCCCCCTGCGGATCCCACAGAAAGAGTGTTTCGAAACTGCTGTTTCAAAAGGAATCTTCAACTCTGTGAGTTGAATGCAATCATCACAAAGAAGTTTCTGACAATGCTTCTCTCTCGTCTTTCTGTGAAGATAAAGGAAAAGGCTTTCAGGCCTTTTCCACCACAGGCCTGAAAGCGCTCCAAATGTCCACTTGCAGATTCTGCCAAAAGAATATTTCAAAACTGCTCTATGAAAAGCAATGTTAAACTCTGTGGCTCGAACACAAACATCACAAAGCAGTTTCTGAGAATGCTTCAGTTTAGTTTTTCTGTGGAAATATTCCCGTTTCCAAAGAAATCTTCAAAGAGGTCCACGCATCCACTTACAGATTCTACAAAAAGACAGTTTCAAAACTGCTCAATCAAAAGGAGGGTTCAACTGTGTGACTTGAATGCAATCATCACTCAGAAGTTTCTGAGAACGCTTCTCTTTAGTTTTTACGTGAACATATACCCGTTTCGAACGAAGGCCAGCCAGTGGTCCAAATATCCACTTGTAGATTCTACAGAAAGAGTGTTTCGAACCTGAACTCTCAAAGGCAGGTTCATCTCTGCGAGTTAAATGCATTCATCATGAAGAACTTTCTCAGCGTGTTTGTGTTTAGTTATGGGAAATTATTCCCGTTTCCAACGAAATCCTCAGAGAGCTCCAAATATCCACCTGCAGATTCTACCAAAAGTGTATTTGGAAACTGCTCCATCAAAAGGCATGTTCAGCTCTGTGAGTGAAACTCCATCATCACAAAGAATATTCTGAGAATGCTTCCGTTTGCCTTTTATCTGAAGTTCCTTCCTATACGACCGTAGGCCTCAATGCAGTCCAAATCTCCATTTGCAGATTCTACAAAAAGAGTGATTCCAATCTGCTCTATCAATAGGATTGTTCAACTCCATGAGTTGAATGCCATCCTCACAAAGTCGTTTCTGAGAATGCTTCTATCTAGTTTTTATGTGAAGATATTTCCTTTTCCACCACAGGCCTCAAAGCCCTCCAAACGTCCACTTGCAGATTCTCGAAAAAGAGTGTTTCATAGCTGCTCTTTCAAAAGGAAAGTTCAACTCTGGGAGTTGAATACAAACATCACAAAGTAGTTTCCGAGAATGCTTCTGTTTAGTTTTTATGTGAAGATGATCCCGTTTCCAGTGAAATCTTCAAAGAGGTCCACATATCCCCTTGCAGATTCCAAAGAAAGAGGGTTTCAAAACTGCTCCATCAGAAGGATTGTTCAACTCTGTGAGTTGAATGCAGTCATCGCAGAAAACTTTCTGAGAATGCTTCTGTCTAGGTTTGATGTGAAGATATAGACGTTTCAAACGAAGGCTACAAAGTGGTCAAAATATACACTTGCAGATTCTACTACAAGGGTGTTGCAAACCTGAACTATCAAAGGAAGGTTCAACTCTGTGAGTTGAATACAAACATCACAAAGAATGTTCTGAGTTTGCTTCCGTTCAGTTATGGGAAGTTGATCCCGTTTCCAACGAAATCCTCAGAGAGGTCCAAATATCCCCTCGCAGATTCTACAAAACGTGTGTTTGGAAACTGCTCCATCATAACGAATGTTCAGCTCCCCTGAGTTAAACTCCATCGTCACAAAGAATTTTCTGAGAGTGCTACCGTCTGGTTTTTATATGAAGTTCTTTCCTTCACTACCACAGGCCTCAAAGCGGTCCAAATCTCCACTTGCAGATTCTACAAAAAGAGTGTTTGCAAACTGCTCTATCAAAAGGAATGTTCAACTCTGGGAGTTGAATGCAATCATCACAGAGCAGTTTCTGAGAATGCTTCTATGTGGTTTTTAGGAGAAGATATTTCCTTTTCCAACACATTCCTCCAAGCCCGCTAAATATCCACTTGCACATTGTAGAAAAAGTGTGTCGAAGCTGCGCTATCAAAGGGAAAGTTCAACTCTGTGAGGTGAATGCAAACATCCCAAAGAAGTTTCTGAGAATGCTTCCGTTTAGCTTTTAGGTGAAGATTATCCCGTTTCCAACGAAATCTTCAAAGAGGTCCAAATATCCCCTTGCGGATCCCACAGAAAGAGTGTTTCGAAACTGCTGTTTCAAAAGGAATCTTCAACTCTGTGAGTTGAATGCAATCATCACAAAGAAGTTTCTGACAATGCTTCTCTCTCGTCTTTCTGTGAAGATAAAGGAAAAGGCTTTCAGGCCTTTTCCACCACAGGCCTGAAAGCGCTCCAAATGTCCACTTGCAGATTCTGCCAAAAGAATATTTCAAAGCTGCTCTACGAAAAGCAATGTTAAACTCTGTGGCTCGAACACAAACATCACAAAGCAGTTTCTGAGAATGCTTCAGTTTAGTTTTTCTGTGGAAATATTCCCGTTTCCAAAGAAATCTTCAAAGAGGTCCACGCATCCACTTACAGATTCTACAAAAAGACAGTTTCAAAACTGCTCAATCAAAAGGAGGGTTCAACTGTGTGACTTGAATGCAATCATCACTCAGAAGTTTCTGAGAACGCTTCTCTTTAGTTTTTACGTGAACATATACCCGTTTCGAACGAAGGCCAGCCAGTGGTCCAAATATCCACTTGCAGATTCTACAGAAAGAGTGTTTCGAACCTGAACTCTCAAAGGCAGGTTCATCTCTGCGAGTTCAATGCATTCATCATGAAGAACGTTCTCAGCGTGTTTGTGTTTAGTTATGGGAAATTATTCCCGTTTCCAACGAAATCCTCAGAGAGCTCCAAATATCCACCTGCAGATTCTACCAAAAGTGTATTTGGAAACTGCTCCATCAAAAGGCATGTTCAGCTCTGTGAGTGAAACTCCATCATCACAAAGAATATTCTGAGAATGCTTCCGTTTGCCTTTTATATGAAGTTCCTTCCTATACTACCGTAGGCCTCAAAGCAGTCCAAATCTCCATTTGCAGATTCTACAAAAAGAGTGATTCCAATCTGCTCTATCAATAGGATTGTTCAACTCCATGAGTTGAATGCCATCCTCACAAAGTCGTTTCTGAGAATGCTTCTATCTAGTTTTTATGTGAAGATATTTCCTTTTCCACCACAGGCCTCAAAGCCCTCCAAACGTCCACTTGCAGATTCTCGAAAAAGAGTGTTTCATAGCTGCTCTTTCAAAAGGAAAGTTCAACTCTGGGAGCTGAATACAAACATCACAAAGTAGTTTCTGAGAATGCTTCTGTTTAGTTCTTATGTGAAGATGATCCCGTTTCCAGTGAAATCTTCAAAGAGGTCCACATATCCCCTTGCAGATTCCAAAGAAAGAGGGTTTCAAAACTGCTCCATCAAAAGGATTGTTCAACTCTGTGAGTTGAATGCAGTCATCGCAGAAAACTTTCTGAGAATGCTTCTGTCTCGGTTTGATGTGAAGATATAGACGTTTCAAACGAAGGCTACAAAGTGGTCAAAATATACACTTGCAGATTCTACTACAAGGGTGATGCAAACCTGAACTATCAAAGGAAGGTTCAACTCTGTGAGTTGAATACAAACATCACAAAGAATGTTCTGAGTTTGCTTCCGTTCAGTTATGGGAAGTTGATCCCGTTTCCAACGAAATCCTCAGAGAGGTCCAAATATCCCCTTGCAGATTCTACAAAACGTGTGTTTGGAAACTGCTCCATCATAACGAATGTTCAGCTCCCTGAGTTAAACTCCATCGTCACAAAGAATTTTCTGAGAGTGCTTCTATGTCGTTTTTAGGAGAAGATATTTCCTTTTCCAACACAGTCCTCCAAGCCCGCTAAATAGCCACTTGCACATTGTAGAAAAAGTGTGTCAAAGCTGCGCTATCAAAGGGAAAGTTCAACTCTGTGAGGTGAATGCAAACATCCCAAAGAAGTTTCTGAGAATGCTTCCGTTTAGCTTTTAGGTGAAGATTATCCCGTTTCCAACGAAACCTTCAAAGAGGTCCAAATATCCCCTTGCGGATCCCACAGAAAGAGTGTTTCGAAACTGCTGTTTCAAAAGGAATCTTCAACTCTGTGAGTTGAATGCAATCATCACAAAGAAGTTTCTGACAATGCTTCTCTCTCGTCTTTCTGTGAAGATAAAGGAAAAGGCTTTCAGGCCTTTTCCACCACAGGCCTGAAAGCGCTCCAAATGTCCACTTGCAGATTCTGCGAAAAGAATATTTCAAAACTGCTCTATGAAAAGCAATGTTAAACTCTGTGGCTCGAACACAAACATCACAAAGCAGTTTCTGAGAATGATTCAGTTTAGTTTTTCTGTGGAAATATTCCCGTTTCCAAAGAAATCTTCAAAGAGGTCCACGTATCCACTTACAGATTCTACAAAAAGACAGTTTCAAAACTGCTCCATCAAAAGGAGGGTTCAACTGTGTGACTTGAATGCAATCATCACTCAGAAGTTTCTGAGAATGCTTCTCTTTAGTTTTTACGTGAACATATACCCGTTTCGAACGAAGGCCAGCCAGTGGTCGAAATATCCACTTGCAGATTCTACAGAAAGAGTGTTTCGAACATGAACTCTCAAAGGCAGGTTCATCTCTGCGAGTTAAATGCATTCATCATGAAGAACTTTCTCAGAGTGTTTGTATTTAGTTATGGGAAATTATTCCCTTTTCCAACGAAATCCTCAGAGAGGTCCAAATATCCACCTGCAGATTCTACCAAAAGTGTATTTGGAAACTGCTCCATCAAAAGGCATGTTCAGCTCTGTGAGTGAAACTCCATCATCACAAAGAATATTCTGAGAATGCTTCCGTTTGCCTTTTATATGAAGTTCCTTCCTATACTACCGTAGGCCTCAAAGCAGTCGAAATCTCCATTTGCAGATTCTACAAAAAGAGTGATTCCAATCTGCTCTATCAATAGGATTGTTCAACTCCATGAGTTGAATGCCATCCTCACAATGTCGTTTCTGAGAATGCTTCTATCTAGTTTTTATGTGAAGATATTTCCTTTTCCACCACAGGCCTCAAAGCCCTCCAAACGTCCACTTGCAGATTCTCGAAAAAGAGTGTTTCATAGCTGCTCTTTCAAAAGGAAAGTTCAACTCTGGGAGTTGAATACAAACATCACAAAGTAGTTTCCGAGAATGCTTCTGTTTAGTTCTTATGTGAAGATGATCCCGTTTCCAGTGAAATCTTCAAAGAGGTCCACATATCCCCTTGCAGATTCCAAAGAAAGAGGGTTTCAAAACTGCTCCATCAAAAGGATTGTTCAACTCTGTGAGTTGAATGCAGTCATCGCAGAAAACTTTCTGAGAATGCTTCTGTCTAGGTTTGATGTGAAGATATAGACGTTTCAAACGAAGGCTACAAAGTGGTCAAAATATACTCTTGCAGATTCTACTACAAGGGTGTTGCAAACCTGAACTCTCAAAGGAAGGTTCAACTCTGTGAGTTGAATACAAACATACATCACAAAGAATGTTCTGAGTTTGCTTCCGTTCAGTTATGGGAAGTTGATCCCGTTTCCAACGAAATCCTCAGAGAGGTCCAAATATCCCCTTGCAGATTCTGCAAAACGTGTGTTTGGAAACTGCTCCATCATAACGAATGTTCAGCTCTCTGAGTTAAACTCCATCGTCACAAAGAATTTTCTGAGAGTGCTACCGTCTGGTTTTTATATGAAGTTCTTCCCTTTACTACCACAGGCCTCAAAGCGGTCCAAATCTCCACTTGCAGATTCTACAAAAAGAGTGTTTGCAAACTGCTCTATCAAAAGGAATGTTCAACTCTGGGAGTTGAATGCAATCATCACAGAGCAGTTTCTGAGAATGCTTCTATGTCGTTTTTAGGAGAAGATATTTCCTTTTCCAACACAGTCCTCCAAGCCCGCTAAATATCCACTTGCACATTGTAGAAAAAGTGTGTCGAAGCTGCGCTATCAAAGGGAAAGTTCAACTCTGTGAGGTGAATGCAAACATCCCAAAGAAGTTTCTGAGAATGCTTCCGTTTAGCTTTAAGTGAAGATTATCCCGTTTCCAACGAAATCTTCAAAGAGGTCCAAATATCCCCTTGCGGATCCCACAGAAAGAGTGTTTCGAAACTGCTGTTTCAAAAGGAATCTTCAACTCTGTGAGTTGAATGCAATCATCACAAAGAAGTTTCTGACAATGCTTCTCTCTCGTCTTTCTGTGAAGATAAAGGAAAAGGCTTTCAGGCCATTTCCACCACAGGCCTGAAAGCGCTCCAAATGTCCACTTGCAGATTCTGCCAAAAGAATATTTCAAAACTGCTCTATGAAAAGCAATGTTAAACTCTGCGGCTCGAACACAAACATCACAAAGCAGTTTCTGAGAATGCTTCAGTTTAGTTTTTCTGTGGAAATATTCCCGTTTCCAAAGAAATCTTCAAAGAGGTCCACGCATCCACTTACAGATTCTACAAAAAGACAGTTTCAAAACTGCTCAATCAAAAGGAGGGTTCAACTGTGTGACTTGAATGCAATCATCACTCAGAAGTTTCTGAGAACGCTTCTCTTTAGTTTTTACGTGAACATATACCCGTTTCGAACGAAGGCCAGCCAGTGGTCCAAATATCCACTTGCAGATTCTACAGAAAGAGTGTTTCAAACCTGAACTCTCAAAGGCAGGTTCATCTCTGCGAGTTAAATGCATTCATCATGAAGAACTTTCTCAGCGTGTTTGTGTTTAGTTATGGGAAATTATTCCCGTTTCCAACGAAATCCTCAGAGAGCTCCAAATATCCACCTGCAGATTCTACCAAAAGTGTATTTGGAAACTGCTCCATCAAAAGGCATGTTCAGCTCTGTGAGTGAAACTCCATCATCACAAAGAATATTCTGAGAATGCTTCCGTTTGCCTTTTATATGAAGTTCCTTCCTATACTACCATAGGCCTCAAAGCAGTCCAAATCTCCATTTGCAGATTCTACAAAAAGAGTGATTCCAATCTGCTCTATCAATAGGATTGTTCAACTCCATGAGTTGAATGCCATCCTCACAAAGTAGTTTCTGAGAATGCTTCTATCTAGTTTTTATGTGAAGATATTTCCTTTTCCACCACAGGCCTCAAAGCCCTCCAAACGTCCACTTGCAGATTCTCGAAAAAGAGTGTTTCATAGCTGCTCTTTCAAAAGGAAAGTTCAACTCTGGGAGTTGAATACAAACATCACAAAGTAGTTTCCGAGAATGCTTCTGTTTAGTTCTTATGTGAAGATGATCCCGTTTCCAGTGAAATCTTCAAAGAGGTCCACATATCCCCTTGCAGATTCCAAAGAAAGAGGGTTTCAAAACTGCTCCATCAAAAGGATTGTTCAACTCTGTGAGTTGAATGCAGTCATCGCAGAAAACTTTCTGAGAATGCTTCTGTCTAGGTTTGAGGTGAAGATATAGACGTTTCAAACGAAGGCTACAAAGTGGTCAAAATATACACTTGCAGATTCTACTACAAGGGTGTTGCAAACCTGAACTATCAAAGGAAGGTTCAACTCTGTGAGTTGAATACAAACATCACAAAGAATGTTCTGAGTTTGCTTCCGTTCAGTTATGGGAAGTTGATCCCATTTCCAACGAAATCCTCAGAGAGGTCCAAATATCCCCTTGCAGATTCTACAAAACGTGTGTTTGGAAACTGCTCCATCATAACGAATGTTCAGCTCTCTGAGTTAAACTCCATCGTCACAAAGAATTTTCTGAGAGTGCTACCGTCTGGTTTTTATATGAAGTTCTTTCCTTTACTACCACAGGCCTCAAAGCGTTCCAAATCTCCACTTGCAGATTCTACAAAAAGAGTGTTTGCAAACTGCTCTATCAAAAGGAATGTTCAACGCTGGGAGTTGAATGCAATCATCACAGAGCAGTTTCTGAGAATGCTTCTATGTCGTTTTTAGGAGAAGATATTTCCTTTTCCAACACAGTCCTCCAAGCCCGCTAAATATCCACTTGCACATTGTAGAAAAAGGGTGTCGAAGCTGCGCTATCAAAGGGAAAGTTCAACTCTGTGAGGTGAATGCAAACATCCCAAAGAAGTTTCTGAGAATGCTTCCGTTTAGCTTTTAGGTGAAGATTATCCCGTTTCCAACGAAATCTTCAAAGAGGTCCAAATATCCCCTTGCGGATCCCACAGAAAGAGTGTTTCGAAACTGCTGTTTCAAAAGGAATCTTCAACTCTGTGAGTTGAATGCAATCATCACAAAGAAGTTTCTGACAATGCTTCTCTCTCGTCTTTCTGTGAAGATAAAGGAAAAGGCTTTCAGGCCTTTTCCACCACAGGCCTGAAAGCGCTCCAAATGTCCACTTGCAGATTCTGCCAAAAGAATATTTCAAAGCTGCTCTACGAAAAGCAATGTTAAACTCTGTGGCTCGAACACAAACATCACAAAGCCGTTTCTGAGAATGCTTCAGTTTAGTTTTTCTGTGGAAATATTCCCGTTTCCAAAGAAATCTTCAAAGGGGGTCCACGTATCCACTTACAGATTCTACAAAAAGACAGTTTCAAAACTGCTCCATCAAAAGGAGGGTTCAACTGTGTGACTTGAATGCAATCATCACTCAGAAGTTTCTGAGAATGCTTCTCTTTAGTTTTTACGTGAACATATACCCGTTTCGAACGAAGGCCACCCAGTGGTCCAAATATCCACTTGCAGATTATACAGAAAGAGTGTTTCGAACCTGAACTCTCAAAGGCAGGTTCATCTCTGCGAGTTAAATGCATTCATCATGAAGAACTTTCTCAGAGTGTTTGTGTTTAGTTATGGGAAATTATTCCCTTTTCCAACGAAATCCTCAGAGAGCTCCAAATATCCACCTGCAGATTCTACCAAAAGTGTATTTGGAAACTGCTCCATCAAAAGGCATGTTCAGCTCTGTGAGTGAAACTCCATCATCACAAAGAATATTCTGAGAATGCTTCCGTTTGCCTTTTATATGAAGTTCCTTCCTGTACTACCGTAGGCCTCAAAGCAGTCCAAATCTCCATTTGCAGATTCTACAAAAAGAGTGATTCCAATCTGCTCTATCAATAGGATTGTTCAACTCCATGAGTTGAATGCCATCCTCACAAAGTCGTTTCTGAGAATGCTTCTATCTGGTTTTTGTGTGAAGATATTTCCTTTTCCACCACAGGCCTCAAAGCCCTCCAAACGTCCACTTGCAGATTCTCGAAAAAGAGTGTTTCATAGCTGCTCTTTCAAAAGGAAAGTTCAACTCTGGGAGTTGAATACAAACATCACAAAATAGTTTCCGAGAATGCTTCTGTTTAGTTTTTATGTGAAGATGATCCCGTTTCCAGTGAAATCTTCAAAGAGGTCCACATATCCCATTGCAGATTCCAAAGAAAGAGGGTTTAAAAACTGCTCCATCAGAAGGATTGTTCAACTCTGTGAGTTCAATGCAGTCATCGCAGAAAACTTTCTGAGAATGCTTCTGTCTAGGTTTGATGTGAAGATATAGACGTTTCAAACGAAGGCTACAAAGTGGTCAAAATATACACTTGCAGATTCTACTACAAGGGTGTTGCAAACCTGAACTATCAAAGGAAGGTTCAACTGCTGTGAGTTGAATACAAACATCACAAAGAATGTTCTGAGTTTGCTTCCGTTTAGTTATGGGAAATTGATACCGTTTCCAACGAAATCCTCAGAGAGGTCCAAATATCCCCTTGCAGATTCTACAAAACGTGTGTTTGGAAACTGCTCCATCATAACGAATGTTCAGCTCTCTGAGTTAAACTCCATCGTCACAAAGAATTTTCTGAGAGTGCTACCGTCTGGTTTTTATATGAAGTTCTTTCCTTTATTACCACAGGCCTCAAAGCGGTCCAAATCTCCACTTGCAGATTCTACAAAAAGAGTGTTTGCAAACTGCTCTATCAAAAGGAATGTTCAACTCTGGGAGTTGAATGCAATCATCACAGAGCAGTTTCTGAGAATGCTTCTATGTCGTTTTTAGGAGAAGATATTTCCTTTTCCAACACAGTCCTCTAAGCCCGCTAAATAGCCACTTGCACATTGTAGAAAAAGTGTGTCAAAGCTGCGCTATCAAAGGGAAAGTTCAACTCTGTGAGGTGAATGCAAACATCCCAAAGAAGTTTCTGAGAATGCTTCCGTTTAGCTTTTAGGTGAAGATTATCCCGTTTCCAACGAAACCTTCAAAGAGGTCCAAATATCCCCTTGCGGATCCCACAGAAAGAGTGTTTCGAAACTGCTGTTTCAAAAGGAATCTTCAACTCTGTGAGTTGAATGCAATCATCACAAAGAAGTTTCTGACAATGCTTCTCTCTCGTCTTCCTGTGAAGATAAAGGAAAAGGCTTTCAGGCCTTTTCCACCACAGGCCTGAAAGCGCTCCAAATGTCCACTTGCAGATTCTGCCAAAAGAATATTTCAAAACTGCTCTATGAAAAGCAATGTTAAACTCTGTGGCTCGAACACAAACATCACAAAGCAGTTTCTGAGAATGCTTCAGTTTAGTTTTTCTGTGGAAATATTCCCGTTTCCAAAGAAATCTTCAAAGAGGTCCACGCATCCACTTACAGATTCTACAAAAAGACAGTTTCAAAACTGCTCCATCAAAAGGAGGGTTCAACTGTGTGACTTGAATGCAATCATCACTCAGAAGTTTCTGAGAATGCTTCTCTTTAGTTTTTACGTGAACATATACCCGTTTCGAACGAAGGCCACCCAGTGGTCCAAATATCCACTTGCAGATTCTACAGAAAGAGTGTTTCGAACCTGAACTCTCAAAGGCAGGTTCATCTCTGCGAGTTAAATGCATTCATCATGAAGAACTTTCTCAGAGTGTTTGTGTTTAGTTATGGGAAATTATTCCCGTTTCCAACGAAATCCTCAGAGAGCTCCAAATATCCACCTGCAGATTCTACCAAAAGTGTATTTGGAAACTGCTCCATCAAAAAGCATGTTCAGCTCTGTGAGTGAAACTCCATCATCACAAAGAATATTCTGAGAATGCTTCCGTTTGCCTTTTATATGAAGTTCCTTCCTGTACTACCGTAGGCCTCAAAGCAGTCCAAATCTCCATTTGCAGATTCTATAAAAAGAGTGATTCCAATCTGCTCTATCAATAGGATTGTTCAACTCCATGAGTTGAATGCCATCCTCACAAAGTAGTTTCTGAGAATGCTTCTATCTAGTTTTTATGTGAAGATATTTCCTTTTCCACCACAGGCCTCAAAGCCCTCCAAACGTCCACTTGCAGATTCTCGAAAAAGAGTGTTTCATAGCTGCTCTTTCAAAAGGAAAGTTCAACTCTGGGAGTTGAATACAAACATCACAAAGTAGTTTCCGAGAATGCTTCTGTTTAGTTTTTATGTGAAGATGATCCCGTTTCCAGTGAAATCTTCAAAGAGGTCCACATATCCCCTTGCAGATTCCAAAGAAAGAGGGTTTCAAAACTGCTCCATCAGAAGGATTGTTCAACTCTGTGAGTGGAATGCAGTCATCGCAGAAAACTTTCTGAGAATGCTTCTGTCTAGGTTTGATGTGAAGATATAGACGTTTCAAACGAAGGCTACAAAGTGGTCAAAATATACACTTGCAGATTCTACTACAAGGGTGTTGCAAACCTGAACTATCAAAGGAAGGTTCAACTCTGTGAATTGAATACAAACATCACAAAGAATGTTCTGAGTTTGCTTCCGTTCAGTTATGGGAAGCTGATCCCGTTTCCAACGAAATCCTCAGAGAGGTCCAAATATCCCCTTGCAGATTCTACAAAACGTGTGTTTGGAAACTGCTCCATCATAACGAATGTTCAGCTCCCTGAGTTAAACTCCATCGTCACAAAGAATTTTCTGAGAGTGCTACCGTCTAGTTTTTATATGAAGTTCTTTCCTTTACTACCACAGGCCTCAAAGCGGTCCAAATCTCCACTTGCAGATTCTACAAAAAGAGTGTTTGCAAACTGCTCTATCAAAAGGAATGTTCAACTCCTGGGAGTTGAATGCAATCATCACAGAGCAGTTTGCTGAGAATGCTTCTATGTCGTTTTTAGAAGATATTTCCTTTTCCAACACAGTCCTCCAAGCCCGCTAAATAGCCACTTGCACATTGTAGAAAAAGTGTGTCAAAGCTGCGCTATCAAAGGGAAAGTTCAACTCTGTGAGGTGAATGCAAACATCCCAAAGAAGTTTCTGAGAATGCTTCCGTTTAGCTTTTAGGTGAAGATTATCCCGTTTCCAACGAAACCTTCAAAGAGGTCCAAATATCCCCTTGCGGATCCCACAGAAAGAGTGTTTCGAAACTGCTGTTTCAAAAGGAATCTTCAACTCTGTGAGTTGAATGCAATCATCACAAAGAAGTTTCTGACAATGCTTCTCTCTCGTCTTTCTGTGAAGATAAAGGAAAAGGCTTTCAGGCCTTTGCCACCACAGGCCTGAAAGCGCTCCAAATGTCCACTTGCAGATTCTGCCAAAAGAATATTTCAAAACTGCTCTATGAAAAGCAATGTTAAACTCTGTGGCTCGAACACAAACATCACAAAGCAGTTTCTGAGAATGCTTCAGTTTAGTTTTTCTGTGGAAATATTCCCGTTTCCAAAGAAATCTTCAAAGAGGTCCACGTATCCACTTACAGATTCTACAAAAAGACAGTTTCAAAACTGCTCCATCAAAAGGAGGGTTCAACCGTGTGACTTGAATGCAATCATCACTCAGAAGTTTCTGAGAATGCTTCTCTTTAGTTTTTACGTGAACATATACCCGTTTCGAACGAAGGCCACCCAGTGGTCCAAATATCCACTTGCAGATTATACAGAAAGAGTGTTTCGAACCTGAACTCTCAAAGGCAGGTTCATCTCTGCGAGTTAAATGCATTCATCATGAAGAACTTTCTCAGAGTGTTTGTGTTTAGTTATGGGAAATTATTCCCGTTTCCAACGAAATCCTCAGAGAGGTCCAAATATCCACCTGCAGATTCTACCAAAAGTGTATTTGGAAACTGCTCCATCAAAAGGCATGTTCAGCTCTGTGAGTGAAACTCCATCATCACAAAGAATATTCTGAGAATGCTTCCGTTTGCCTTTTATATGAAGTTCCTTCCTATACGACCGTAGGCCTCAAAGCAGTGCAAATCTCCATTTGCAGATTCTACAAAAAGAGTGATTCCAATCTGCTCTATCAATAGGATTGTTCAACTCCATGAGTTGAATGCCATCCTCACAAAGTCGTTTCTGAGAATGCTTCTATCTAGTTTTTATGTGAAGATATTTCCTTTTCCACCACAGGCCTCAAAGCCCTCCAAACGTCCACTTGCAGATTCTCGAAAAGGAGTGTTTCATAGCTGCTCTTTCAAAAGGAAAGTTCAACTCTGGGAGTTGAATACAAACATCACAAAGTAGTTTCCGAGAATGCTTCTGTTTAGTTTTTATGTGAAGATGATCCCGTTTCCAGTGAAATCTTCAAAGAGGTCCACATATCCCCTTGCAGATTCCAAAGAAAGAGGGTTTCAAAACTGCTCCATCAGAAGGATTGTTCAACTCTGTGAGTTGAATGCAGTCATCGCAGAAAACTTTCTGAGAATGCTTCTGTCTAGGTTTGATGTGAAGATATAGACGTTTCAAACGAAGGCTACAAAGTGGTCAAAATATACACTTGCAGATTCTACTACAAGGGTG
This sequence comes from Homo sapiens, assembly GCF_000001405.40. Taxonomy (NCBI): domain Eukaryota; kingdom Metazoa; phylum Chordata; class Mammalia; order Primates; family Hominidae; genus Homo; species Homo sapiens. The sequence goes on along the minus strand of NC_000023.11, from coordinate 61,886,723 downwards.
TTGCAAACCTGAACTATCAAAGGAAGGTTCAACTCTGTGAGTTGAATACAAACATCACAAAGAATGTTCTGAGTTTGCTTCCGTTCAGTTATGGGAAGTTGATCCCGTTTCCAACGAAATCCTCAGAGAGGTCCAAATATCCCCTTGCAGATTCTACAAAACGTGTGTTTGGAAACTGCTCCATCATAACGAATGTTCAGCTCCCTGAGTTAAACTCCATCGTCACAAAGAATTTTCTGAGAGTGCTACCGTCTGGTTTTTATATGAAGTTCTTTCCTTCACTACCACAGACCTCAAAGCGGTCCAAATCTCCACTTGCAGATTCTACAAAAAGAGTGTTTGCAAACTGCTCTATCAAAAGGAATGTTCAACTCTGGGAGTTGAATGCAATCATCACAGAGCAGTTTCTGAGAATGCTTCTATGTCGTTTTTAGGAGAAGATATTTCCTTTTCCAACACAGTCCTCCAAGCCCGCTAAATAGCCACTTGCACATTGTAGAAAAAGTGTGTCAAAGCTGCGCTATCAAAGGGAAAGTTCAACTCTGTGAGGTGAATGCAAACATCCCAAAGAAGTTTCTGAGAATGCTTCCGTTTAGCTTTTAGGTGAAGATTATCCCGTTTCCAACGAAACCTTCAAAGAGGTCCAAATATCCCCTTGCGGATCCCACAGAAAGAGTGTTTCGAAACTGCTGTTTCAAAAGGAATCTTCAACTCTGTGGGTTGAATGCAATCATCACAAAGAAGTTTCTGACAATGCTTCTCTCTCGTCTTTCTGTGAAGATAAAGGAAAAGGCTTTCAGGCCTTTTCCACCACAGGCCTGAAAGCGCTCCAAATGTCCACTTGCAGATTCTGCCAAAAGAATATTTCAAAACTGCTCTATGAAAAGCAATGTTAAACTCTGTGGCTCGAACACAAACATCACAAAGCAGTTTCTGAGAATGCTTCAGTTTAGTTTTTCTGTGGAAATATTCCCGTTTCCAAAGAAATCTTCAAAGAGGTCCACGTATGCACTTACAGATTCTACAAAAAGACAGTTTCAAAACTGCTCCATCAAAAGGAGGGTTCAACTGTGTGACTTGAATGCAATCATCACTCAGAAGTTTCTGAGAATGCTTCTCTTTAGTTTTTACGTGAACATATACCCGTTTCGAACGAAGGCCACCCAGTGGTCCAAATATCCACTTGCAGATTCTACAGAAAGAGTGTTTCGAACCTGAACTCTCAAAGGCAGGTTCATCTCTGCGAGTTAAATGCATTCATCATGAAGAACTTTCTCAGAGTGTTTGTGTTTAGTTATGGGAAATTATTCCCGTTTCCAACGAAATCCTCAGAGAGCTCCAAATATCCACCTGCAGATTCTACCAAAAGTGTATTTGGAAACTGCTCCATCAAAAGGCATGTTCAGCTCTGTGAGTGAAACTCCATCATCACAAAGAATATTCTGAGAATGCTTCCGTTTGCCTTTTATCTGAAGTTCCTTCCTGTACTACCGTAGGCCTCAAAGCAGTCCAAATCTCCATTTGCAGATTCTATAAAAAGAGTGATTCCAATCTGCTCTATCAATAGGATTGTTCAACTCCATGAGTTGAATGCCATCCTCACAAAGTAGTTTCTGAGAATGCTTCTATCTGGTTTTTGTGTGAAGATATTTCCTTTTCCACCACAGGCCTCAAAGCCCTCCAAACGTCCACTTGCAGATTCTCGAAAAAGAGTGTTTCATAGCTGCTCTTTCAAAAGGAAAGTTCAACTCTGGGAGTTGAATGCAAACATCACAAAATAGTTTCCGAGAATGCTTCTGTTTAGTTTTTATGTGAAGATGATCCCGTTTCCAGTGAAATCTTCAAAGAGGTCCACATATCCCCTTGCAGATTCCAAAGAAAGAGGGTTTCAAAACTGCTCCATCAGAAGGATTGTTCAACTCTGTGAGTTGAATGCAGTCATCGCAGAAAACTTTCTGAGAATGCTTCTGTCTAGGTTTGATGTGAAGATATAGACGTTTCAAACAAAGGCTACAAAGTGGTCAAAATATACACTTGCAGATTCTACTACAAGGGTGTTGCAAACCTGAACTATCAAAGGAAGGTTCAACTCTGTGAGTTGAATACAAACATCACAAAGAATGTTCTGAGTTTGCTTCCGTTCAGTTATGGGAAGTTGATCCCGTTTCCAACGAAATCCTCAGAGAGGTCCAAATATCCCCTTGCAGATTCTACAAAACGTGTGTTTGGAAACTGCTCCATCATAACGAATGTTCAGCTCCCTGAGTTAAACTCCATCGTCACAAAGAATTTTCTGAGAGTGCTACCGTGTGGTTTTTATATGAAGTTCTTTCCTTCACTACCACAGACCTCAAAGCGGTCCAAATCTCCACTTGCAGATTCTACAAAAAGAGTGTTTGCAAACTGCTCTATCAAAAGGAATGTTCAACTCTGGGAGTTGAATGCAATCATCACAGAGCAGTTTCTGAGAATGCTTCTATGTCGTTTTTAGGAGAAGATATTTCCTTTTCCAACACAGTCCTCCAAGCCCGCTAAATAGCCACTTGCACATTGTAGAAAAAGTGTGTCAAAGCTGCGCTATCAAAGGGAAAGTTCAACTCTGTGAGGTGAATGCAAACATCCCAAAGAAGTTTCTGAGAATGCTTCCCGTTTAGCTTTTAGGTGAGGATTATCCCGTTTCCAACGAAACCTTCAAAGAGGTCCAAATATCCCCTTGCGGATCCCACAGAAAGAGTGTTTCGAAACTGCTGTTTCAAAAGGAATCTTCAACTCTGTGAGTTGAATGCAATCATCACAAAGAAGTTTCTGACAATGCTTCTCTCTCGTCTTTCTGTGAAGATAAAGGAAAAGGCTTTCAGGCCTTTGCCACCACAGGCCTGAAAGCGGTCCAAATGTCCACTTGCAGATTCTGCCAAAAGAATATTTCAAAACTGCTCTATGAAAAGCAATGTTAAACTCTGCGGCTCGAACACAAACATCACAAAGCGGTTTCTGAGAATGCTTCAGTTTAGTTTTTCTGTGGAAATATTCCCGTTTCCAAAGAAATCTTCAAAGAGGTCCACGTATCCACTTACAGATTCTACAAAAAGACAGTTTCAAAACTGCTCCATCAAAAGGAGGGTTCAACTGTGTGACTTGAATGCAATCATCACTCAGAAGTTTCTGAGAATGCTTCTCTTTAGTTTTTACGTGAACATATACCCGTTTCGAACGAAGGCCACCCAGTGGTCCAAATATCCACTTGCAAATTATACAGAAAGAGTGTTTCGAACCTGAACTCTCAAAGGCAGGTTCATCTCTGCGAGTTAAATGCATTCATCATGAAGAACTTTCTCAGAGTGTTTGTGTTTAGTTATGGGAAATTATTCCCGTTTCCAACGAAATCCTCAGAGAGCTCCAAATATCCACCTGCAGATTCTACCAAAAGTGTATTTGGAAACTGCTCCATCAAAAGGCATGTTCAGCTCTGTCAGTGAAACTCCATCATCACAAAGAATATTCTGAGAATGCTTCCGTTTGCCTTTTATATGAAGTTCCTTCCTGTACTACCGTAGGCCTCAAAGCAGTCCAAATCTCCATTTGCAGATTCTACAAAAAGAGTGATTCCAATCTGCTCTATCAATAGGATTGTTCAACTCCATGAGTTGAATGCCATCCTCACAAAGTCGTTTCTGAGAATGCTTCTATCTGGTTTTTGTGTGAAGATATTTCCTTTTCCACCACAGGCCTCAAAGCCCTCCAAACGTCCACTTGCAGATTCTCGAAAAAGAGTGTTTCATAGCTGCTCTTTCAAAAGGAAAGTTCAACTCTGGGAGTTGAATACAAACATCACAAAGTAGTTTCCGAGAATGCTTCTGTTTAGTTTTTATGTGAAGATGATCCCGTTTCCAGTGAAATCTTCAAAGAGGTCCACATATCCCCTTGCAGATTCCAAAGAAAGAGGGTTTCAAAACTGCTCCATCAAAAGGATTGTTCAACTCTGTGAGTTGAATGCAGTCATCGCAGAAAACTTTCTGAGAATGCTTCTGTCTAGGTTTGATGTGAAGATATAGACGTTTCAAACGAAGGCTACAAAGTGGTCAAAATATACACTTGCAGATTCTACTACAAGGGTGTTGCAAACCTGAACTATCAAAGGAAGGTTCAACTCTGTGAGTTGAATACAAACATCACAAAGAATGTTCTGAGTTTGCTTCCGTTCAGTTATGGGAAGTTGATCCCGTTTCCAACGAAATCCTCAGAGAGGTCCAAATATCCCCTTGCAGATTCTACAAAACGTGTGTTTGGAAACTGCTCCATCATAACGAATGTTCAGCTCCCTGAGTTAAACTCCATCGTCACAAAGAATTTTCTGAGAGTGCTACCGTCTGGTTTTTATATGAAGTTCTTTCCTTCACTACCACAGGCCTCAAAGCGGTCCAAATCTCCACTTGCAGATTCTACAAAAAGAGTGTTTGCAAACTGCTCTATCAAAAGGAATGTTCAACTCTGGGAGTTGAATGCAATCATCACAGAGCAGTTTCTGAGAATGCTTCTATGTCGTTTTTAGGAGAAGATATTTCCTTTTCCAACACAGTCCTCCAAGCCCGCTAAATATCCACTTGCACATTGTAGAAAAAGTGTGTCAAAGCTGCGCTATCAAAGGGAAAGTTCAACTCTGAGAGGTGAATGCAAACATCCCAAAGAAGTTTCTGAGAGTGCTTCCGTTTAGCTTTTAGGTGAAGATTATCCCGTTTCCAACGAAACCTTCAAAGAGGTCCAAATATCCCCTTGCGGATCCCACAGAGTGTTTCGAAACTGCTGTTTCAAAAGGAATCTTCAACTCTGTGAGTTGAATGCAATCATCACAAAGAAGTTTCTGACAATGCTTCTCTCTCGTCTTTCTGTGAAGATAAAGGAAAAGGCTTTCAGGCCTTTGCCACCACAGGCCTGAAAGCGCTCCAAATGTCCACTTGCAGATTCTGCGAAAAGAATATTTCAAAACTGCTCTATGAAAAGCAATGTTAAACTCTGTGGCTCGAACACAAACATCACAAAGCAGTTTCTGAGAATGCTTCAGTTTAGTTTTTCTGTGGAAATATTCCCGTTTCGAAAGAAATCTTCAAAGAGGTCCACGCATCCACTTACAGATTCTACAAAAAGACAGTTTCAAAACTGCTCAATCAAAAGGAGGGTTCAACTGTGTGACTTGAATGCAATCATCACTCAGAAGTTTATGAGAACGCTTCTCTTTAGTTTTTACGTGAACATATACCCGTTTCGAACGAAGGCCAGCCAGTGGTCCAAATATCCACTTGCAGATTCTACAGAAAGAGTGTTTCGAACCTGAACTCTCAAAGGCAGGTTCATCTCTGCGAGTTCAATGCATTCATCATGAAGAACTTTCTCAGAGTGTTTGTGTTTAGGTATGGGAAATTATTCCCGTTTCCAACGAAATCTTCAGAGAGGTCCAAATATCCACCTGCAGATTCTACCAAAAGTGTATTTGGAAACTGCTCCATCAAAAGGCATGTTCAGCTCTGTGAGTGAAACTCCATCATCACAAAGAATATTCTGAGAATGCTTCCGTTTGCCTTTTATATGAAGTACCTTCCTATACTACCGTAGGCCTCAAAGCAGTCCAAATCTCCATTTGCAGATTCTACAAAAAGAGTGATTCCAATCTGCTCTATCAATAGGATTGTTCAACTCCATGAGTTGAATGCCATCCTCACAAAGTCGTTTCTGAGAATGCTTCTATCTAGTTTTTATGTGAAGATATTTCCTTTTCCACCACAGGCCTCAAAGCCCTCCAAACGTCCACTTGCAGATTCTCGAAAAAGAGTGTTTCATACCTGCCCTTCAAAAGGAAAGTTCAACTCTGGGAGGTGAATACAAACATCACAAAGTAGTTTCCGAGTATGCTTCTGTTTAGTTCTTATGTGAAGATGATCCCGTTTCCAGTGAAATCTTCAAAGAGGTCCACATATCCCCTTGCCGATTCCAAAGAAAGAGGGTTTCAAAACTGCTCCATCAAAAGGATTGTTCAACTCTGTGAGTTGAATGCAGTCATCGCAGAAAACTTTCTGAGAATGCTTCTGTCTAGGTTTGATGTGAAGATATAGACGTTTCAAACGAAGGCTACAAAGTGGTCAAAATATACACTTGCAGATTCTACTACAAGGGTGTTGCAAACCTGAACTATCAAAGGAAGGTTCAACTCTGTGAGTTGAATACAAACATCACAAAGAATGTTCTGAGTTTGCTTCCGTTCAGTTATGGGAAGTTGATCCCGTTTCCAACGAAATCCTCAGAGAGGTCCAAATATCCCCTTGCAGATTCTACAAAACGTGTGTTTGGAAACTGCTCCATCATAACAAATGTTCAGCTCCCTGAGTTAAACTCCATCGTCACAAAGAATTTTCTGAGAGTGCTACCGTCTGGTTTTTATATGAAGTTCTTTCCTTCACTTCCACTGGCCTCAAAGCGGTCCAAATCTCCACTTGCAGATTCTACAAAAAGAGTGTTTGCAAACTGCTCTATCAAAAGGAATGTTCAACTCTGGGAGTTGAATGCAATCATCACAGAGCAGTTTCTGAGAATGCTTCTATGTCGTTTTTAGGAGAAGATATTTCCTTTTCCAACACAGTCCTCCAAGCCCGCTAAATAGCCACTTGCACATTGTAGAAAAAGTGTGTCAAAGCTGCGCTATCAAAGGGAAAGTTCAACTCTGTGAGGTGAATGCAAACATCCCAAAGAAGTTTCTGAGAATGCTTCCGTTTAGCTTTTAGGTGAAGATTATCCCGTTTCCAACGAAACCTTCAAAGAGGTCCAAATATCCCCTTGCGGATCCCACAGAAAGAGTGTTTCGAAACTGCTGTTTCAAAAGGAATCTTCAACTCTGTGAGTTGAATGCAATCATCACAAAGAAGTTTCTGACAATGCTTCTCTCTCGTCTTTCTGTGAAGATAAAGGAAAAGGCTTTCAGGCCTTTTCCACCACAGGCCTGAAAGCGCTCCAAATGTCCACTTGCAGATTCTGCGAAAAGAATATTTCAAAACTGCTCTATGAAAAGCAATGTTAAACTCTGTGGCTGGAACACAAACATCACAAAGCGGTTTCTGAGAATGTTTCAGTTTAGTTTTTCTGTGGAAATATTCCCGTTTCCAAAGAAATCTTCAAAGAGGTCCACGTATCCACTTACAGATTCTACAAAAAGACAGTTTCAAAACTGCTCCATCAAAAGGAGGGTTCAACTGTGTGACTTGAATGCAATCATCACTCAGAAGTTTCTGAGAATGCTTCTCTTTAGTTTTTACGTGAACATATACCCGTTTCGAACGAAGGCCAGCCAGTGGTCCAAATATCCACTTGCAGATTCTACAGAAAGAGTGTTTCGAACCTGAACTCTCAAAGGCAGGTTCATCTCTGCGAGTTAAATGCATTCATCATGAAGAACTTTCTCAGAGTGTTTGTGTTTAATTATGGGAAATTATTCCCGTTTCCAACGAAATCCTCAGAGAGGTCCAAATATCCACCTGCAGATTCTACCAAAAGTGTATTTGGAAACTGCTCCATCAAAAGGCATGTTCAGCTCTGTGAGGGAAACTCCATCATCACAAAGAATATTCTGAGAATGCTTCCGTTTGCCTTTTATATGAAGTTCCTTCCTATACTACCGTAGGCCTCAAAGCAGTCCAAATCTCCATTTGCAGATTCTACAAAAAGAGTGATTCCAATCTGCTCTATCAATAGGATTGTTCAACTCCATGAGTTGAATGCCATCCTCACAAAGTAGTTTCTGAGAATGCTTCTATCTAGTTTTTATGTGAAGATATTTCCTTTTCCACCACAGGCCTCAAAGCCCTCCAAACGTCCACTTGCAGATTCTCGAAAAAGAGTGTTTCATAGCTGCTCTTTCAAAAGGAAATTTCAACTCTGGGAGTTGAATACAAACATCACAAAGAATGTTCTGAGTTTGCTTCCGTTCAGTTATGGGAAGTTGATCCCGTTTCCAACGAAATCCTCAGAGAGGTCCAAATATCCCCTTGCAGATTCTACAAAACGTGTGTTCGGAAACTGCTCCATCATAACGAATGTTCAGCTCCCTGAGTTAAACTCCATCGTCACAAAGAATTTTCTGAGAGTGCTACCGTCTGGTTTTTATATGAAGTTCTTTCCTTCACTACCACAGGCCTCAAAGCGGTCCAAATCTCCACTTGCAGATTCTACAAAAAGAGTGTTTGCAAACTGCTCTATCAAAAGGAATGTTCAACTCTGGGAATTGAATGCAATCATCACAGAGCAGTTTCTGAGAATGCTTCTATGTCGTTTTTAGGAGAAGATATTTCCTTTTCCAACACAGTCCTCCAAGCCCGCTAAATAGCCACTTGCACATTGTAGAAAAAGTGTGTCAAAGCTGCGCTATCAAAGGGAAAGTTCAACTCTGTGAGGTGAATGCAAACATCCCAAAGAAGTTTCTGAGAATGCTTCCGTTTAGCTTTTAGGTGAAGATTATCCCGTTTCCAACGAAACCTTCAAAGAGGTCCAAATATCCCCTTGCGGATCCCACAGAAAGAGTGTTTCGAAACTGCTGTTTCAAAAGGAATCTTCAACTCTGTGAGTTGAATGCAATCATCACAAAGAAGTTTCTGACAATGCTTCTCTCTCGTCTTTCTGTGAAGATAAAGGAAAAGGCTTTCAGGCCTTTTCCACCACAGGCCTGAAAGCGCTCCAAATGTCCACTTGCAGATTCTGCCAAAAGAATATTTCAAAACTGCTCTATGAAAAGCAATGTTAAACTCTGTGGCTGGAACACAAACATCACAAAGCGGTTTCTGAGAATGTTTCAGTTTAGTTTTTCTGTGGAAATATTCCCGTTTCCAAAGAAATCTTCAAAGAGGTCCACGTATCCACTTACAGATTCTACAAAAAGACAGTTTCAAAACTGCTCAATCAAAAGGAGGGTTCAACTGTGTGACTTGAATGCAATCATCACTCAGAAGTTTCTGAGAATGCTTCTCTTTAGTTTTTACGTGAACATATACCCGTTTCGAACGAAGGCCACCCAGTGGTCCAAATATCCACTTGCAGATTATACAGAAAGAGTGTTTCGAACCTGAACTCTCAAAGGCAGGTTCATCTCTGCGAGTTAAATGCATTCATCATGAAGAACTTTCTCAGAGTGTTTGTGTTTAGTTATGGGAAATTATTCCCGTTTCCAACGAAATCCTCAGAGAGCTCCAAATATCCACCTGCAGATTCTACCAAAAGTGTATTTGGAAACTGCTCCAACAAAAGGCATGTTAAGCTCTGTGAGTGAAACTCCATCATCACAAAGAATATTCTGAGAATGCTTCCGTTTGCCTTTTATATGAAGTTCCTTCCTATACTACCGTAGGCCTCAAAGCAGTCCAAATCTCCATTTGCAGATTCTACAAAAAGAGTGATTCCAATCTGCTCTATCAATAGGATTGTTCAACTCCATGAGTTGAATGCCATCCTCACAAAGTAGTTTCTGAGAATGCTTCTATCTAGTTTTTATGTGAAGATATTTCCTTTTCCACCACAGGCCTCAAAGCCCTCCAAACGTCCACTTGCAGATTTTCGAAAAAGAGTGTTTCATAGCTGCTCTTTCAAAAGGAAAGTTCAACTCTGGGAGTTGAATACAAACATCACAAAGTAGTTTCCGAGAATGCTTCTGTTTAGTTTTTATGTGAAGATGATCCCGTTTCCAGTGAAATCTTCAAAGAGGTCCACATATCCCCTTGCAGATTCCAAAGAAAGAGGGTTTCAAAACTGCTCCATCAGAAGGATTGTTCAACTCTGTGAGTTGAATGCAGTCATCGCAGAAAACTTTCTGAGAATGCTTCTGTCTAGGTTTGATGTGAAGATATAGACGTTTCAAATGAAGGCTACAAAGTGGTCAAAATATACACTTGCAGATTCTACTACAAGGGTGTTGCAAACCTGAACTATCAAAGGAAGGTTCAACTCTGTGAGTTGAATACAAACATCACAAAGAATGTTCTGAGTTTGCTTCCGTTCAGTTATGGGAAGTTGATCCCGTTTCCAACGAAATCCTCAGAGAGGTCCAAATATCCCCTTGCAGATTCTACAAAACGTGTGTTTGGAAACTGCTCCATCATAACAAATGTTCAGCTCCCTGAGTTAAACTCCATCGTCACAAAGAATTTTCTGAGAGTGCTACCGTCTGGTTTTTATATGAAGTTCTTTCCTTCACTTCCACTGGCCTCAAAGCGGTCCAAATCTCCACTTGCAGATTCTACAAAAAGAGTGTTTGCAAACTGCTCTATCAAAAGGAATGTTCAACTCTGGGAGTTGAATGCAATCATCACAGAGCAGTTTCTGAGAATGCTTCTATGTCGTTTTTAGGAGAAGATATTTCCTTTTCCAACACAGTCCTCCAAGCCCGCTAAATAGCCACTTGCACATTGTAGAAAAAGTGTGTCAAAGCTGCGCTATCAAAGGGAAAGTTCAACTCTGTGAGGTGAATGCAAACATCCCAAAGAAGTTTCTGAGAATGCTTCCGTTTAGCTTTTAGGTGAAGATTATCCCGTTTCCAACGAAACCTTCAAAGAGGTCCAAATATCCCCTTGCGGATCCCACAGAAAGAGTGTTTCGAAACTGCTGTTTCAAAAGGAATCTTCAACTCTGTGAGTTGAATGCAATCATCACAAAGAAGTTTCTGACAATGCTTCTCTCTCGTCTTTCTGTGAAGATAAAGGAAAAGGCTTTCAGGCCTTTGCCACCACAGGCCTGAAAGCGCTCCAAATGTCCACTTGCAGATTCTGCCAAAAGAATATTTCAAAACTGCTCTATGAAAAGCAATGTTAAACTCTGCGGCTCGAACACAAACATCACAAAGCGGTTTCTGAGAATGCTTCAGTTTAGTTTTTCTGTGGAAATATTCCCGTTTCCAAAGAAATCTTCAAAGAGGTCCACGCATCCACTTACAGATTCTACAAAAAGACAGTTTCAAAACTGCTCAATCAAAAGGAGGGTTCAACTGTGTGACTTGAATGCAATCATCACTCAGAAGTTTGCTGAGAACGCTTCTCTTTAGTTTTTACGTGAACATATACCCGTTTCGAACGAAGGCCACCCAGTGGTCCAAATATCCACTTGCAGATTATACAGAAAGAGTATTTCGAACCTGAACTCTCAAAGGCAGGTTCATCTCTGCGAGTTAAATGCATTCATCATGAAGAACTTTCTCAGAGTGTTTGTGTTTAGTTATGGGAAATTATTCCCGTTTCCAACGAAATCCTCAGAGAGCTCCAAATATCCACCTGCAGATTCTACCAAAAGTGTATTTGGAAACTGCTCCATCAAAAGGCATGTTCAGCTCTGTGAGTGAAACTCCATCATCACAAAGAATATTCTGAGAATGCTTCCGTTTGCCTTTTATATGAAGTTCCTTCCTGTACTACCGTAGGCCTCAAAGCAGTCCAAATCTCCATTTGCAGATTCTATAAAAAGAGTGATTCCAATCTGCTCTATCAATAGGATTGTTCAACTCCATGATTTGAATGCCATCCTCACAAAGTAGTTTCTGAGAATGCTTCTATCTGGTTTTTGTGTGAAGATATTTCCTTTTCCACCACAGGCCTCAAAGCCCTCCAAACGTCCACTTGCAGATTCTCGAAAAAGAGTGTTTCATAGCTGCTCTTTCAAAAGGAAAGTTCAACTCTGGGAGTTGAATACAAACATCACAAAATAGTTTCCGAGAATGCTTCTGTTTAGTTTTTATATGAAGATGATCCCGTTTCCAGTGAAATCTTCAAAGAGGTCCACATATCCCCTTGCAGATTCCAAAGAAAGAGGGTTTCAAAACTGCTCCATCAGAAGGATTGTTCAACTCTGTGAGTTGAATGCAGTCATCGCAGAAAACTTTCTGAGAATGCTTCTGTCTAGGTTTGATGTGAAGATATAGACGTTTCAAACGAAGGCTACAAAGTGGTCAAAATATACACTTGCAGATTCTACTACAAGGGTGTTGCAAACCTGAACTATCAAAGGAAGGTTCAACTCTGTGAGTTGAATACAAACATCACAAAGAATGTTCTGAGTTTGCTTCCGTTCAGTTATGGGAAGTTGATCCCGTTTCCAACGAAATCCTCAGAGAGGTCCAAATATCCCCTTGCAGATACTACAAAACGTGTGTTTGGAAACTGCTCCATCATAACGAATGTTCAGCTCCCTGAGTTAAACTCCATCGTCACAAAGAATTTTCTGAGAGTGCTACCGTCTGGTTTTTATATGAAGCTCTTTCCTTCACTACCCCAGGCCTCAAAGCGGTCCAAATCTCCACTTGCAGATTCTACAAAAAGAGTGTTTGCAAACTGCTCTATCAAAAGGAATGTTCAACTCTGGGAGTTGAATGCAATCATCACAGAGCAGTTTCTGAGAATGCTTCTATGTCGTTTTTAGGAGAAGATATTTCCTTTTCCAACACAGTCCTCCAAGCCCGCTAAATAGTCACTTGCACATTGTAGAAAAAGTGTGTCAAAGCTGCGCTATCAAAGGGAAAGTTCAACTCTGTGAGGTGAATGCAAACATCCCAAAGAAGTTTCTGAGAGTGCTTCCGTTTAGCTTTTAGGTGAAGATTATCCCGTTTCCAACGAAACCTTCAAAGAGGTCCAAATATCCCCTTGCGGATCCCACAGAAAGAGTGTTTCGAAACTGCTGTTTCAAAAGGAATCTTCAACTCTGTGAGTTGAATGCAATCATCACAAAGAAGTTTCTGACAATGCTTCTCTCTCGTCTTTCTGTGAAGGTAAAGGAAAAGGCTTTCAGGACTTTTCCACCACAGGCCTGAAAGCGCTCCAAATGTCCACTTGCAGATTCTGCCAAAAGAATATTTCAAAACTGCTCTATGAAACGCAATGTTAAACTCTGTGGCTCGAACACAAACATCACAAGGCGGTTTCTGAGAATGATTCAGTTTAGTTTTTCTGTGGAAATATTCCCGTTTCCAAAGAAATCTTCAAAGAGGTCCACGTATCCACTTACAGATTCTACAAAAAGACAGTTTCAAAACTGCTCCATCAAAAGGAGGGTTCAACTGTGTGACTTGAATGCAATCATCACTCAGAAGTTTCTGAGAATGCTTCTCTTTAGTTTTTACGTGTACATATACCCGTTTCGAACGAAGGCCAGCCAGTGGTCCAAATATCCACTTGCAGATTCTACAGAAAGAGTGTTTCGAACCTGAACTCTCAAAGGCAGGTTCATCTCTGCGAGTTAAATGCATTCATCATGAAGAACTTTCTCAGAGTGTTTGTGTTTAGTTATGGGAAATTATTCCCGTTTCCAACGAAATCCTCAGAGAGCTCCAAATATCCACCTGCAGATTCTACCAAAAGTGTATTTGGAAACTGCTCCATCAAAAGGCATGTTCAGCTCTGTGAGTGAAACTCCATCATCACAAAAATATTCTGAGAATGCTTCCGTTTGCCTTTTATATGAAGTTCCTTCCTATACTACCGTAGGCCTCAAAGCAGTCCAAATCTCCATTTGCAGATTCTACAAAAAGAGTGATTCCAATCTGCTCTATCAATAGGATTGTTCAACTCCATGAGTTGAATGCCATCCTCACAAAGTCGTTTCTGAGAATGCTTCTATCTAGTTTTTATGTGAAGATATTTCCTTTTCCACCACAGGCCTCAAAGCCCTCCAAACGTCCACTTGCAGATTCTCGAAAAAGAGTGTTTCATAGCTGCTCTTTCAAAAGGAAAGTTCAACTCTGGGAGTTGAATACAAACATCACAAAGTAGTTTCCGAGAATGCTTCTGTTTAGTTTTTATGTGAAGATGATCCCGTTTCCAGTGAAATCTTCAAAGAGGTCCACATATCCCCTTGCAGATTCCAAAGAAAGAGGGTTTCAAAACTGCTCCATCAGAAGGTTTGTTCAACTCTGTGAGTTGAATGCAGTCATCGCAGAAAACTTTCTGAGAATGCTTCTGTCTAGGTTTGATGTGAAGATATAGACGTTTCAAACGAAGGCTACAAAGTGGTCAAAATATACACCTGCAGATTCTACTACAAGGGTGTTGCAAACCTGAACTATCAAAGGAAGTTTCAACTCCGTCAGTTGAATACAAACATCACAAAGAATGTTCTGAGTTTGCTTCCGTTCAGTTATGGGAAGTTGATCCCGTTTCCAACGAAATCCTCAGAGAGGTCCAAATATCCCCTTGCAGATTCTACAAAACGTGTGTTTGGAAACTGCTCCATCATAACGAATGTTCAGCTCCCTGAGTTAAACTCCATCGTCACAAAGAATTTTCTGAGAGTGCTACCGTATGGTTTTTATATGAAGTTCTTTCCTTCACTACCACAGGCCTCAAAGCGGTCCAAATCTCCACTTGCAGATTCTACAAAAAGAGTGTTTGCAAACTGCTCTATCAAAAGGAATGTTCAACTCTGGGAGTTGAATGCAATCATCACAGAGCAGTTTCTGAGAATGCTTCTATGTCGTTTTTAGGAGAAGATATTTCCTTTTCCAACACAGTCCTCCAAGCCCGCTAAATAGCCACTTGCACATTGTAGAAAAAGTGTGTCAAAGCTGCGCTATCAAAGGGAAAGTTCAACTCTGTGAGGTGAATGCAAACATCCCAAAGAAGTTTCTGAGAATGCTTCCGTTTAGCTTTTAGGTGAAGATTATCCCGTTTCCAACGAAACCTTCAAAGAGGTCCAAATATCCCCTTGCGGATCCCACAGAAAGAGTGTTTCGAAACTGCTGTTTCAAAAGGAATCTTCAACTCTGTGAGTTGAATGCAATCATCACAAAGAAGTTTCTGACAATGCTTCTCTCTCGTCTTTCTGTGAAGATAAAGGAAAAGGCTTTCAGGCCTTTGCCACCACAGGCCTGAAAGCGCTCCAAATGTCCACTTGCAGATTCTGCGAAAAGAATATTTCAAAACTGCTCTATGAAAAGCAATGTTAAACTCTGTGGCTCGAACACAAACATCACAAAGCGGTTTCTGAGAATGCTTCAGTTTAGTTTTTCTGTGGAAATATTCCCGTTTCCAAAGAAATCTTCAAAGAGGTCCACGTATCCACTTACAGATTCTACAAAAAGACAGTTTCAAAACTGCTCCATCAATAGGAGGGTTCAACTGTGTGACTTGAATGCAATCATCACTCAGAAGTTTCTGAGAATGCTTCTCTTTAGTTTTTACGTGAACATATACCCGTTTCGAACGAAGGCCACCCAGTGGTCCAAATATCCACTTGCAGATTCTACAGAAAGAGTGTTTCGAACCTGAACTCTCAAAGGCAGGTTCATCTCTGCGAGTTAAATGCATTCATCATGAAGAACTTTCTCAGAGTGTTTGTGTTTAGTTATGGGAAATTATTCCCGTTTCCAACGAAATCCTCAGAGTGGTCCAAATATCCACCTGCAGATTCTACCAAAAGTGTATTTGGAAACTGCTCCATCAAAAGGCATGTTCAGCTCTGTGAGTGAAACTCCATCATCACAAAGAATATTCTGAGAATGCTTCCGTTTGCCTTTTATCTGAAGTTCCTTCCTATACGACCGTAGGCCTCAAAGCAGTCCAAATCTCCATTTGCAGATTCTACAAAAAGAGTGATTCCAATCTGCTCTATCAATAGGATTGCTCAACTCCATGAGTTGAATGCCATCCTCACAAAGTAGTTTCTGAGAATGCTTCTATCTAGTTTTTATGTGAAGGTATTTCCTTTTCCACCACAGGCCTCCAAGCCCTCCAAACGTCCACTTGCAGATTCTCGAAAAAGAGTGTTTCATAGCTGCTCTTTCAAAAGGAAAGTTCAACTCTGGGAGTTGAATACAAACATCACAAAGTAGTTTCCGAGAATGCTTCTGTTTAGTTTTTATGTGAAGATGATCCCGTTTCCAGTGAAATCTTCAAAGAGGTCCACATATCCCCTTGCAGATTCCAAAGAAAGAGGGTTTAAAAACTGCTCCATCAGAAGGATTGTTCAACTCTGTGAGTTGAATGCAGTCATCGCAGAAAACTTTCTGAGAATGCTTCTGTCTAGGTTTGATGTGAAGATATAGACGTTTCAAACGAAGGCTACAAAGTGGTCAAAATATACACTTGCAGATTCTACTACAAGGGTGTTGCAAACCTGAACTATCAAAGGAAGGTTCAACTCTGTGAATTGAATACAAACATCACAAAGAATGTTCTGAGTTTGCTTCCGTTCAGTTATGGGAAGTTGATCCCGTTTCCAACGAAATCCTCAGAGAGGTCCAAATATCCCCTCGCAGATTCTACAAAACGTGTGTTTGGAAACTGCTCCATCATAACGAATGTTCAGCTCCCTGAGTTAAACTCCATCGTCACAAAGAATTTTCTGAGAGTGCTACCGTCTGGTTTTTATATGAAGTTCTTTCCTTCACTACCACAGGCCTCAAAGCGGTCCAAATCTCCACTTGCAGATTCTACAAAAAGAGTGTTTGCAAACTGCTCTATCAAAAGGAATGTTCAACTCTGGGAGTTGAATGCAATCATCACAGAGCAGTTTCTGAGAATGCTTCTATGTCGTTTTTAGAAGATATTTCCTTTTCCAACACAGTCCTCCAAGCCCGCTAAATATCCACTTGCACATTGTAGAAAAAGTGTGTCAAAGCTGCGCTATCAAAGGGAAAGTTCAACTCTGTGAGGTGAATGCAAACATCCCAAAGAAGTTTCTGAGAATGCTTCCGTTTAGCTTTTAGGTGAAGATTATCCCGTTTCCAACGAAACCTTCAAAGAGGTCCAAATATCCCCTTGCGGATCCCACAGAAAGAGTGTTTCGAAACTGCTGTTTCAAAAGGAATCTTCAACTCTGTGAGTTGAATGCAATCATCACAAAGAAGTTTCTGACAATGCTTCTCTCTCGTCTTTCTGTGAAGATAAAGGAAAAGGCTTTCAGGCCTTTTCCACCACAGGCCTGAAAGCGCTCCAAATGTCCACTTGCAGATTCTGTGAAAAGAATATTGCAAAACTGCTCTATGAAAAGCAATGTTAAACTCTGTGGCTCGAACACAAACATCACAAAGCAGTTTCTGAGAATGCTTCAGTTTAGTTTTTCTGTGGAAATATTCCCGTTTCCAAAGAAATCTTCAAAGAGGTCCACGTATCCACTTACAGATTCTACAAAAAGACAGTTTCAAAACTGCTCCATCAAAAGGAGGGTTCAACTGTGTGACTTGAATGCAATCATCACTCAGAAGTTTCTGAGAATGCTTCTCTTTAGTTTTTACGTGAACATATAGTCGTTTCGAACGAAGGCCACCCAGTGGTCCAAATATCCACTTGCAGATTCTACAGAAAGAGTGTTTCGAACCTGAACTCTCAAAGGCAGGTTCATCTCTGCGAGTTAAATGCATTCATCATGAAGAACTTTCTCAGAGTGTTTGTGTTTAGTTATGGGAAATTATTCCCGTTTCCAACGAAATCCTCAGAGAGCTCCAAATATCCACCTGCAGATTCTACCAAAAGTGTATTTGGAAACTGCTCCATCAAAAGGCATGTTCAGCTCTGTGAGTGAAACTCCATCATCACAAAGAATATTCTGAGAATGCTTCCGTTTGCCTTTTATATGAAGTTCCTTCCCATACTACCGTAGGCCTCAAAGCAGTCCAAATCTCCATTTGCAGATTCTACAAAAAGAGTGATTCCAATCTGCTCTATCAATAGGATTGTTCAACTCCATGAGTTGAATGCCATCGTCACAAAGTAGTTTCTGAGAATGCTTCTATCTAGTTTTTATGTGAAGATATTTCCTTTTCCACCACAGGCCTCAAAGCCCTCCAAACGTCCACTTGCAGATTCTCGAAAAAGAGTGTTTCATAGCTGCTCTTTCAAAAGGAAAGTTCAACTCTGGGAGTTGAATACAAACATCACAAAGTAGTTTCCGAGAATGCTTCTGTTTAGTTTTTATGTGAAGATGATCCCGTTTCCAGTGAAATCTTCAAAGAGGTCCACATATGCCCTTGCAGATTCCAAAGAAAGAGGGTTTCAAAACTGCTCCAGCAAAAGGATTGTTCAACTCTGTGAGTTGAATGCAGTCATCGCAGAAAACTTTCTGAGAATGCTTCTGTCTAGGTTTGATGTGAAGATATAGACGTTTCAAACGAAGGCTACAAAGTGGTCAAAATATACACTTGCAGATTCTACTACAAGGGTGTTGCAAACCTGAACTATCAAAGGAAGGTTCAACTCTGTGAATTGAATACAAACATCACAAAGAATGTTCTGAGTTTGCTTCCGTTCAGTTATGGGACGTTGATCCCGTTTCCAACGAAATCCTCAGAGAGGTCCGAATATCCCCTTGCAGATTCTACAAAACGTGTGTTTGGAAACTGCTCCATCATAACGAATGTTCAGCTCTCTGAGTTAAACTCCATCGTCACAAAGAATTTTCTGAGAGTGCTACCGTCTAGTTTTTATATGAAGTTCTTTCCTTTACTACCACAGGCCTCAAAGCGGTCCAAATCTCCACTTGCAGATTCTACAAAAAGAGTGTTTGCAAACTGCTCTATCAAAAGGAATGTTCAACTCTGGGAGTTGAATGCAATCATCACAGAGCAGTTTCTGAGAATGCTTCTATGTCGTTTTTAGGAGAAGATATTTCCTTTTCCAACACAGTCCTCCAAGCCCGCTAAATAGCCACTTGCACATTGTAGAAAAAGTGTGTCGAAGCTGCGCTATCAAAGGGAAAGTTCAACTCTGTGAGGTGAATGCAAACATCCCAAAGAAGTTTCTGAGAATGCTTCCGTTTAGCTTTTAGGTGACGATTATCCAGTTTCCAACGAAACCTTCAAATAGATCCAAATATCCCCTTGCGGTTCCCACAGAAAGAGTGTTTCGAAACTGCTGTTTCAAAAGGAATCTTCAACTCTGTGAGTTGAATGCAATCATCACAAAGAAGTTTCTGACAATGCTTCTCTCTCGTCTTTCTGTGAAGATAAAGGAAAAGGCTTTCAGGCCTTTTCCACCACAGGCCTGAAAGCGCTCCAAATGTCCACTTGCAGATTCTGCCAAAAGAATATTTCAAAACTGCTCTATGAAAAGCAATGTTAAACTCTGCGGCTCGAACACAAACATCACAAAGCAGTTTCTGAGAATGCTTCAGTTTAGTTTTTCTGTGGAAATATTCCCGTTTCCAAAGAAATCTTCAAAGAGGTCCACGCATCCACTTACAGATTCTACAAAAAGACAGTTTCAAAACTGCTCAATCAAAAGGAGGGTTCAACTGTGTGACTTGAATGCAATCATCACTCAGAAGTTTCTGAGAATGCTTCTCTTTAGTTTTTACGTGAACATATACCCGTTTCGAACGAAGGCCAGCCAGTGGTCCAAATATCCACTTGCAGATTCTACAGAAAGAGTGTTTCGAACCTGAACTCTCAAAGGCAGGTTCATCTCTGCGAGTTAAATGCATTCATCATGAAGAACTTTCTCAGCGTGTTTGTGTTTAGTTATGGGAAATTATTCCCGTTCCCAACGAAATCCTCAGAGAGCTCCAAATATCCACCTGCAGATTCTACCAAAAGTGTATTTGGAAACTGCTCCATCAAAAGGCATGTTCAGCTCTGTGAGTGAAACTCCATCATCACAAAGAATATTCTGAGAATGCTTCCGTTTGCCTTTTATATGAAGTTCCTTCCTATACTACCGTAGGCCTCAAAGCAGTCCAAATCTCCATTTGCAGATTCTACAAAAAGAGTGATTCCAATCTGCTCTATCAATAGGACTGTTCAACTCCATGAGTTGAATGCCATCCTCACAAAGTCGTTTCTGAGAATGCTTCTATCTAGTTTTTATGTGAAGATATTTCCTTTTCCCCACAGGCCTCAAAGCCCTCCAAACGTCCACTTGCAGATTCTCGAAAAAGAGTGTTTCATAGCTGCTCTTTCACAAGGAAAGTTCAACTCTGGGAGTTGAATACAAACATCACAAAGTAGTTTCCGAGAATGCTTCTGTTTAGTTCTTATGTGAAGATGATCCCGTTTCCAGTGAAATCTTCAAAGAGGTCCACATATCCCCTTGCAGATTCCAAAGAAAGAGGGTTTCAAAACTGCTCCATCAAAAGGATTGTTCAACTCTGTGAGTTGAATGCAGTCATCGCAGAAAACTTTCTGAGAATGCTTCTGTCTAGGTTTGAGGTGAAGATATAGACGTTTCAAACGAAGGCTACAAAGTGGTCAAAATATACACTTGCAGATTCTACTACAAGGGTGTTGCAAACTTCAACTATCAAAGGAAGTTTCAACTCTGTGAGTTGAATACAAACATCACAAAGAATGTTCTGAGTTTGCTTCCGTTCAGTTATGGGAAGTTGATCCCGTTTCCAACGAAATCCTCAGAGAGGTCCAAATATCCCCTTGCAGATTCTACAAAACGTGTGTTTGGAAACTGCTCCATCATAACGAATGTTCAGCTCCCTGAGTTAAACTCCATCGTCACAAAGAATTTTCTGAGAGTGCTACCGTCTGGTTTTTATATGAAGTTCTTTCCTTCACTACCACAGGCCTCAAAGCGGTCCAAATCTCCACTTGCAGATTCTACAAAAAGAGTGTTTGCAAACTGCTCTATCAAAAGGAATGTTCAACTCTGGGAGTTGAATGCAATCATCACAGAGCAGTTTCTGAGAATGCTTCTATGTCGTTTTTAGGAGAAGATATTTCCTTTTCCAACACAGTCCTCCAAGCCCGCTAAATAGCCACTTGCACATTGTAGAAAAAGTGTGTCAAAGCTGCGCTATCAAAGGGAAAGTTCAACTCTGTGAGGTGAATGCAAACATCCCAAAGAAGTTTCTGAGAATGCTTCCGTTTAGCTTTTAGGTGAAGATTATCCCGTTTCCAACGAAACCTTCAAAGAGGTCCAAATATCCCCTTGCGGATCCCACAGAAAGAGTGTTTCGAAACTGCTGTTTCAAAAGGAATCTTCAACTCTGTGAGTTGAATGCAATCATCACAAAGAAGTTTCTGACAATGCTTCTCTCTCGTCTTTCTGTGAAGATAAAGGAAAAGGCTTTCAGGCCTTTTCCACCACAGGCCTGAAAGCGCTCCAAATGTCCACTTGCAGATTCTGCCAAAAGAATATTTCAAAACTGCTCTATGAAAAGCAATGTTAAACTCTGTGGCTCGAACACAAACATCACAAAGCAGTTTCTGAGAATGCTTCAGTTTAGTTTTTCTGTGGAAATATTCCCGTTTCCAAAGAAATCTTCAAAGAGGTCCACGTATGCACTTACAGATTCTACAAAAAGACAGTTTCAAAACTGCTCCATCAAAAGGAGGGTTCAACTGTGTGACTTGAATGCAATCATCACTCAGAAGTTTCTGAGAATGCTTCTCTTTAGTTTTTACGTGAACATATACCCGTTTCGAACGAAGGCCACCCAGTGGTCCAAATATCCACTTGCAGATTCTACAGAAAGAGTGTTTCGAACCTGAACTCTCAAAGGCAGGTTCATCTCTGTTAGTTAAATGCATTCATCATGAAGAACTTTCTCAGAGTGTTTGTGTTTAGTTATGGGAAATTATTCCCGTTTCCAACGAAATCCTCAGAGAGCTCCAAATATCCACCTGCAGATTCTACCAAAAGTGTATTTGGAAACTGCTCCATCAAAAGGCATGTTCAGCTCTGTGAGTGAAACTCCATCATCACAAAGAATATTCTGAGAATGCTTCCATTTGCCTTTTATATGAAGTTCCTTCCTATACTACCGTAGGCCTCAAAGCAGTCCAAATCTCCATTTGCAGATCCTACAAAAAGAGTGATTCCAATCTGCTCTATCAATAGGATTGTTCAACTCCATGAGTTGAATGCCATCCTCACAAAGTAGTCTCTGAGAATGCTTCTATCTAGTTTTTATGTGAAGATATTTCCTTTTCCACCACAGCCTCAAAGCCCTCCAAACGTCCACTTGCAGATTCTCGAAAAAGAGTGTTTCATAGCTGCTCTTTCAAAAGGAAAGTTCAACTCTGGGAGTTGAATACAAACATCACAAAGTAGTTTCCGAGAATGCTTCTGTTTAGTTCTTATGTGAAGATGATCCCGTTTCCAGTGAAATCTTCAAAGAGGTCCACATATCCCCTTGCAGATTCCAAAGAAAGAGGGTTTCAAAACTGCTCCATCAAAAGGATTGTTCAACTCTGTGAGTTGAATGCAGTCATCGCAGAAAACTTTCTGAGAATGCTTCTTTCTAGGTTTGATGTGAAGATATAGACGTTTCAAACGAAGGCTACAAAGTGGTCAAAATATACACTTGCAGATTCTACTACAAGGGTGTTGCAAACCTGAACTATCAAAGGAAGGTTCAACTCTGTGAGTTGAATACAAACATCACAAAGAATGTTCTGAGTTTGCTTCCGTTCAGTTATGGGAAGTTGATCCCGTTTCCAGCGAAATCCTCAGAGAGGTCCAAATATCCCCTTGCAGATTCTACAAAACGTGTGTTTGGAAACTGCTCCATCATAACGAATGTTCAGCTCCCTGAGTTAAACTCCATCGTCACAAAGAATTTTCTGAGAGTGCTACCGTCTGGTTTTTATATGAAGCTCTTTCCTTTACTACCCCAGTCCTCAAAGCGGTCCAAATCTCCACTTGCAGATTCTACAAAAAGAGTGTTTGCAAACTGCTCTATCAAAAGGAATGTTCAACTCTGGGAGTTGAATGCAATCATCACAGAGCAGTTTCTGAGAATGCTTCTATGTCGTTTTTAGGAGAAGATATTTCCTTTTCCAACACAGTCCTCCAAGCCCGCTAAATAGCCACTTGCACATTGTAGAAAAAGTGTGTCAAAGCTGCGCTATCAAAGGGAAAGTTCAACTCTGTGAGGTGAATGCAAACATCCCAAAGAAGTTTCTGAGAATGCTTCCGTTTAGCTTTTAGGTGAAGATTATCCCGTTTCCAACGAAACCTTCAAAGAGGTCCAAATATCCCCTTGCGGATCCCACAGAAAGAGTGTTTCGAAACTGCTGTTTCAAAAGGAATCTTCAACTCTGTGAGTTGAATGCAATCATCACAAAGAAGTTTCTGACAATGCTTCTCTCTCGTCTTTCTGTGAAGATAAAGGAAAAGGCTTTCAGGCCTTTTCCACCACAGGCCTGAAAGCGCTCCAAATGTCCACTTGCAGATTCTGCGAAAAGAATATTTCAAAACTGCTTTGTGAAAAGCAATGTTAAACTCAGTGGCTCGAACACAAACATCACAACGCGGTTTCTGAGAATGCTTCAGTTTAGTTTTTCTGTGGAAATATTCCCGTTTCCAAAGAAATCTTCAAAGAGGTCCACGCATCCACTTACAGATTCTACAAAAAGACAGTTTCAAAACTGCTCCATCAAAAGGAGGGTTCAACTGTGTGACTTGAATGCAATCATCACTCAGAAGTTTCTGAGAATGCTTCTCTTTAGTTTTTACGTGAACATATACCCGTTTCGAACGAAGGCCACCCAGTGGTCCAAATATCCACTTGCAGATTCTACAGAAAGAGTGTTTCCAACCTGAACTCTCAAAGGCAGGTTCATCTCTGCGAGTTAAATGCATTCATCATGAAGAACTTTCTCAGAGTGTTTGTGTTTAGTTATGGGAAATTATTCCCGTTTCCAACGAAATCCTCAGAGAGGTCCAAATATCCACCTGCAGATTCTACGAAAAGTGTATTTCGAAACTGCTCCATGAAAAGGCATGTTCAGCTCTGTGAGTGGAACTCCATCATCACAAAGAATATTCTGAGAATGCTTCCGTTTGCCTTTTATATGAAGTTCCTTCCTATACTACCGTAGGTCTCAAAGCAGTCCAAATCTCCATTTGCAGATTCTACAAAAAGAGTGATTCCAATCTGCTCTATCAATAGGATTGTTCAACTCCATGAGTTGAATGCCATCCTCACAAAGTAGTTTCTGAGAATGCTTCTATCTGGTTTTTGTGTGAAGATATTTCCTTTTCCACCACAGGCCTCAAAGCCCTCCAAACGTCCACTTGCAGATTCTAGAAAAAGAGTGTTTCATAGCTGCTCTTTCAAAAGGAAAGTTCAACTCTGGGAGTTGAATACAAACATCACAAAATAGTTTCCGAGAATGCTTCTGTTTAGTTCTTATGTGCAGATGATCCCGTTTCCAGTGAAATCTTCAAAGAGGTCCACATATCCCCTTGCAGATTCCAAAGAAAGAGGGTTTCAAAACTGCTCCATCAAAAGGATTGTTCAACTCTGTGAGTTGAATGCAGTCATCGCAGAAAACTTTCTGAGAATGCTTCTGTCTAGGTTTGAGGTGAAGATATAGACGTTTCAAACGAAGGCTACAAAGTGGTCAAAATATACACTTGCAGATTCTACTACAAGGGTGTTGCAAACCTGAACTATCAAAGGAAGGTTCAACTCTGTGAGTTGAATACAAACATCACAAAGAATGTTCTGAGTTTGCTTCCGTTCAGTTATGGGAAGTTGATCCCGTTTCCAACGAAATCCTCAGAGAGGTCCAAATATCCCCTTGCAGATTCTACAAAACGTGTGTTTGGAAACTGCTCCATCATAACGAATGTTCAGCTCTCTGAGTTAAACTCCATCGTCACAAAGAATTTTCTGAGAGTGCTACCATCTGGTTTTTATATGAAGTTCTTTCCTTTACTACCACAGGCCTCAAAGCGGTACAAATCTCCACTTGCAGATTCTACAAAAAGAGTGTTTGCAAACTGCTCTATCAAAAGGAATGTTCAACTCTGGGAGTTGAATGCAATCATCACAGAGCAGTTTCTGAGAATGCTTCTATGTCGTTTTTAGGAGAAGATATTTCCTTTTCCAACACAGTCCTCCAAGCCCGCTAAATATCCACTTGCACATTGTAGAAAAAGTGTGTCGAAGCTGTGCTATCAAAGGGAAAGTTCAACTCTGTGAGGTGAATGCAAACATCCCAAAGAAGTTTCTGAGAATGCTTCCGTTTAGCTTTTAGGTGAAGATTATCCCGTTTCCAACGAAATCTTCAAAGAGGTCCAAATATCCCCTTGCGGATCCCACAGAAAGAGTGTTTCGAAACTGCTGTTTCAAAAGGAATCTTCAACTCTGTGAGTTGAATGCAATCATCACAAAGAAGTTTCTGACAATGCTTCTCTCTCGTCTTTCTGTGAAGATAAAGGAAAAGGCTTTCAGGCCTTTGCCACCACAGGCCTGAAAGCGCTCCAAATGTCCACTTGCAGATTCTGCGAAAAGAATATTTCAAAACTGCTGCTATGAAAAGCAATGTTAAACTACTGTGGCTCGAACACAAACATCACAAAGCGGTTTCTGAGAATGCTTCAGTTTAGTTTTTCTGTGGAAATATTCCCGTTTCCAAAGAAATCTTCAAAGAGGTCCACGTATCCACTTACAGATCCTACAAAAAGACAGTTTCAAAACTGCTCAATCAAAAGGAGGGTTCAACTGTGCGACTTGAAAGCAATCATCACTCAGAACTCTCTGAGAATGCTTCTCTTTAGTTTTTACGTGAACATATACCCGTTTCGAACGAAGGCCACCCAGTGGTCCAAATATCCACCTGCAGATTCTACAGAAAGAGTGTTTCGAACCTGAACTCTCAAAGGCAGGTTCATCTCTGCGAGTTAAATGCATTCGTCATGAAGAACTTTCTCAGCGTGTTTGTGTTTAGTTATGGGAAATTACTCCTTTTCCCAACGAAATCCTCAGAGAGGTCCAAATGTCCACCTGCAGATTCTACCAAAAGTGTATTTGGAAACTGCTCCAACAACAGGCATGTTCAGCTCTGTGAGTGAAACTCCATCATCACAAAGAATATTCTGAGAATGCTTCCGTTTGCCTTTTATATGAAGTTCCTTCCTATACTACCGTAGGCCTCAAAGCAGTCCAAATCTCCATTTGCAGATTCTACAAAAAGAGTGATTCCAATCTGCTCTATCAATAGGATTGTTCAACTCCATGAGTTGAATGCCATCCTCACAAAGTCGTTTCTGAGAATGCTTCTATCTAGTTTTTATGTGAAGATATTTCCTTTTCCACCACAGGCCTCAAAGCCCTCCAAACGTCCACTTTCAGATTCTCGAAAAAGAGTGTTTCATAGCTGCTCTTTCAAAAGGAAAGTTCAACTCTGGGAGTTGAATACAAACATCACAAAGTAGTTTCCGAGAATGCTTCTGTTTAGTTTTTATGTGAAGATGATCCCGTTTCCAGTGAAATCTTCAAAGAGGTCCACATATCCCCTTGCAGATTCCAAAGAAAGAGGGTTTCAAAACTGCTCCATCAGAAGGATTGTTCAACTCTGTGAGTTGAATGCAGTCATCGCAGAAAACTTTCTGAGAATGCTTCTGTCTAGGTTTGATGTGAAGATATAGACGTTTCAAACGAAGGCTACAAAGTGGTCAAAATATACACTTGCAGATTCTACTACAAGGGTGTTGCAAACCTGAACTATCAAAGGAAGGTTCAACTCTGTGAGTTGAATACAAACATCACAAAGAATGTTCTGAGTTTGCTTCCGTTCAGTTATGGGAAGTTGATCCCGTTTCCAACGAAATCCTCAGAGAGGTCCAAATATCCCCTTGCAGATTCTACAAAACGTGTGTTTGGAAACTGCTCCATCATAACGAATGTTCAGCTCCCTGAGTTAAACTCCATCGTCACAAAGAATTTTCTGAGAGTGCTACCGTCTGGTTTTTATATGAAGTTCTTTCCTTCACTACCACAGGCCTCAAAGCGGTCCAAATCTCCACTTGCAGATTCTACAAAAAGAGTGTTTGCAAACTGCTCTATCAAAAGGAATGTTCAACTCTGGGAGTTGAATGCAATCATCACAGAGCAGTTTCTGAGAATGCTTCTATGTCGTTTTTAGGAGAAGATATTTCCTTTTCCAACACAGTCCTCCAAGCCCGCTAAATAGCCACTTGCACATTGTAGAAAAAGTGTGTCAAAGCTGCGCTATCAAAGGGAAAGTTCAACTCTGTGAGGTGAATGCAAACATCCCAAAGAAGTTTCTGAGAATGCTTCCGTTTAGCTTTTAGGTGAAGATTATCCCGTTTCCAACGAAACCTTCAAAGAGGTCCAAATATCCCCTTGCGGATCCCACAGAAAGAGTGTTTCGAAACAGCTGTTTCAAAAGGAATCTTCAACTCTGTGAGTTGAATGCAATCATCACAAAGAAGTTTCTGACAATGCTTCTCTCTCGTCTTTCTGTGAAGATAAAGGAAAAGGCTTTCAGGCCTTTGCCACCACAGGCCTGAAAGCGCTCCAAATGTCCACTTGCAGATTCTGCGAAAAGAATATTTCAAAACTGCTCTATGAAAAGCAATGTTAAACTCTGTGGCTGGAACACAAACATCACAAAGCTGTTTCTGAGAATGTTTCAGTTTAGTTTTTCTGTGGAAATATTCCCGTTTCCAAAGAAATCTTCAAAGAGGTCCACGTATCCACTTACAGATTCTACAAAAAGACAGTTTCAAAACTGCTCCATCAAAAGGAGGGTTCAACTGTGTGACTTGAATGCAATCATCACTCAGAAGTTTCTGAGAATGCTTCTCTTTAGTTTTTACGTGAACATATACCCGTTTCGAAAGAAGGCCACCCAGTGGTCCAAATATCCACTTGCAGATTATACAGAAAGAGTGTTTCGAACCTGAACTCTCAAAGGCAGGTTCATCTCTGCGAGTTAAATGCATTCATCATGAAGAACTTTCTCAGAGTGTTTGTGTTTAGTTATGGGAAATTATTCCCGTTTCCAACGAAATCCTCAGAGAGGTCCAAATATCCACCTGCCGATTCTACCAAAAGTGTATTTGGAAACTGCTCCATCAAAAGGCATGTTCAGCTCTGTGAGTGAAACTCCATCATCACAAAGAATATTCTGAGAATGCTTCCGTTTGCCTTTTATATGAAGTTCCTTCCTATACTACCGTAGGCCTCATAGCAGTCCAAATCTCCATTTGCAGATTCTACAAAAAGAGTGAT
Organism: Homo sapiens; assembly: GCF_000001405.40. Taxonomy (NCBI): domain Eukaryota; kingdom Metazoa; phylum Chordata; class Mammalia; order Primates; family Hominidae; genus Homo; species Homo sapiens. The sequence goes on along the minus strand of NC_000023.11, from coordinate 61,858,784 downwards.
TCCAATGTGCTCTATCATTAGGATTGTTCAACTCCATGAGTTGAATGCCATCCTCACAAAGTCGTTTCTGAGAATGCTTCTATCTAGTTTTTATGTGAAGATATTTCCTTTTCCACCACAGGCCTCAAAGCCCTCCAAACGTCCACTTGCAGATTCTCGAAAAAGAGTGTTTCATAGCTGCTCTTTCAAAAGGAAAGTTCAACTCTGGGAGTTGAATACAAACATCACAAAGTAGTTTCCGAGAATGCTTCTGTTTAGTTCTTATGTGAAGATGATCCCGTTTCCAGTGAAATCTTCAAAGAGGTCCACATATCCCCTTGCAGATTCCAAAGAAAGAGGGTTTCAAAACTGCTCCATCAAAAGGATTGTTCAACTCTGTGAGTTGAATGCAGTCATCGCAGAAAACTTTCTGAGAATGCTTCTGTCTAGGTTTGATGTGAAGATATAGACGTTTCAAACGAAGGCTACAAAGTGGTCAAAATATACACTTGCAGATTCTACTACAAGGGTGTTGCAAACCTGAACTATCAAAGGAAGGTTCAACTCTGTGAATTGAATACAAACATCACAAAGAATGTTCTGAGTTTGCTTCCGTTCAGTTATGGGAAGTTGATCCCGTTTCCAACGAAATCCTCAGAGAGGTCCAAATATCCCCTTGCAGATTCTACAAAACGTGTGTTTGGAAACTGCTCCATCATAACGAATGTTCAGCTCCCTGAGTTAAACTCCATCGTCACAAAGAATTTTCTGAGAGTGCTACCGTCTGTTTTTTATATGAAGTTCTTTCCTTCACTACCACAGGCCTCAAAGCGGTCCAAATCTCCACTTGCAGATTCTACAAAAAGAGTGTTTGCAAACTGCTCTATCAAAAGGAATGTTCAACTCTGGGAGTTGAATGCAATCATCACAGAGCAGTTTCTGAGAATGCTTCTATGTCGTTTTTAGGAGAAGATATTTCCTTTTCCAACACAATCCTCCAAGCCCGCTAAATAGCCACTTGCACATTGTAGAAAAAGTGTGTCAAAGCTGCGCTATCAAAGGGAAAGTTCAACTCTGTGAGGTGAATGCAAACATCCCAAAGAAGTTTCTGAGAATGCTTCCGTTTAGCTTTTAGGTGAAGATTATCCCGTTTCCAACGAAACCTTCAAAGAGGTCCAAATATCCCCTTGCGGATCCCACAGAAAGAGTGTTCCGAAACTGCTGTTTCAAAAGGAATCTTCAACTCTGTGAGTTGAATGCAATCATCACAAAGAAGTTTCTGACAATGCTTCTCTCTCGTCTTTCTGTGAAGATAAAGGAAAAGGCTTTCAGGCCTTTGCCACCACAGGCCTGAAAGCGCTCCAAATGTCCACTTGCAGATTCTGCGAAAAGAATATTTCAAAACTGCTCTATGAAAAGCAATGTTAAACTCTGTGGCTCGAACACAAACATCACAAAGCGGTTTCTGAGAATGCTTCAGTTTAGTTTTTCTGTGGAAATATTCCCGTTTCCAAAGAAATCTTCAAAGAGGTCCACGTATCCACTTACAGATTCTACAAAAAGACAGTTTCAAAACTGCTCCATCAAAAGGAGGGTTCAACTGTGTGACTTGAATGCAATCATCACTCAGAAGTTTCTGAGAATGCTTCTCTTTAGTTTTTACGTGAACATATACCCGTTTCGAACGAAGGCCACCCAGTGGTCCAAATATCCACTTGCAGATTATACAGAAAGAGTGTTTCGAACCTGAACTCTCAAAGGCAGGTTCATCTCTGCGAGTTAAATGCATTCCTCATGAAGAACTTTCTCAGCGTGTTTGTGTTTAGTTATGGGAAATTATTCCCGTTTCCAACGAAATCCTCAGAGAGCTCCAAATATCCACCTGCAGATTCTACCAAAAGTGTATTTGGAAACTGCTCCATCAAAAGGCATGTTCAGCTCTGTGAGTGAAACTCCATCATCACAAAGAATATTCTGAGAATGCTTCCGTTTGCCTTTTATCTGAAGTTCCTTCCTATACGACCGTAGGCCTCAAAGCAGTCCAAATCTCCATTTGCAGATTCTACAAAAAGAGTGATTCCAATCTGCTCTATCAATAGGATTGTTCAACTCCATGAGTTGAATGCCATCCTCCAAAGTCGTTTCTGAGAATGCTTCTATCTAGTTTTTATGTGAAGATATTTCCTTTTCCACCACAGGCCTCAAAGCCCTCCAAACGTCCACTTGCAGATTCTCGAAAAAGAGTGTTTCATAGCTGCTCTTTCAAAAGGAAAGTTCAACTCTGGCAGTTGAATACAAACATCACAAAGTAGTTTCCGAGAATGCTTCTGTTTAGTTTTTATGTGAAGATGATCCCGTTTCCAGTGAAATCTTCAAAGAGGTCCACATATACCCTTGCAGATTCCAAAGAAAGAGGGTTTCAAAACTGCTCCATCAGAAGGATTGTTCAACTCTGTGAGTTGAATGCAGTCATCGCAGAAAACTTTCTGAGAATGCTTCTGTCTAGGTTTGATGTGAAGATATAGACGTTTCAAACGAAGGCTACAAAGTGGTCAAAATATACACTTGCAGATTCTACTACAAGGGTGTTGCAAACCTGAACTATCAAAGGAAGGTTCAACTCTGTGAGTTGAATACAAACATCACAAAGAATGTTCTGAGTTTGCTTCCGTTCAGTTATGGGAAGTTGATCCCGTTTCCAACGAAATCCTCAGAGAGGTCCAAATATCCCCTTGCAGATACTACAAAACGTGTGTTTGGAAACTGCTCCATCATAACGAATGTTCAGCTCCCTGAGTTAAACTCCATCGTCACAAAGAATTTTCTGAGAGTGCTACCGTCTGGTTTTTATATGAAGCTCTTTCCTTCACTACCACAGGCCTCAAAGCGGTCCAAATCTCCACTTGCAGATTCTACAAAAAGAGTGTTTGCAAACTGCTCTATCAAAAGGAATGTTCAACCCTGGGAGTTGAATGCAATCATCACAGAGCAGTTTCTGAGAATGCTTCTATGTCGTTTTTAGGAGAAGATATTTCCTTTTCCAACACAGTCCTCCAAGCCCGCTAAATAGCCACTTGCACATTGTAGAAAAAGTGTGTCAAAGCTGCGCTATCAAAGGGAAAGTTCAACTCTGTGAGGTGAATGCAAACATCCCAAAGAAGTTTCTGAGAGTGCTTCCGTTTAGCTTTTAGGTGAAGATTATCCCGTTTCCAACGAAACCTTCAAAGAGGTCCAAATATCCCCTTGCGGATCCCACAGAAAGAGTGTTTCGAAACTGCTGTTTCAAAAGGAATCTTCAACTCTGTGAGTTGAATGCAATCATCACAAAGAAGTTTCTGACAATGCTTCTCTCTCGTCTTTCTGTGAAGATAAAGGAAAAGGCTTTCAGGCCTTTGCCACCACAGGCCTGAAAGCGCTCCAAATGTCCACTTGTAGATTCTGCCAAAAGAATATTTCAAAACTGCTCTATGAAAAGCAATGTTAAACTCTGTGGCTCGAACACAAACATCACAAAGCAGTTTCTGAGAATGCTTCAGTTTAGTTTTTCTGTGGAAATATTCCCGTTTCCAAAGAAATCTTCAAAGAGGTCCACGTATCCACTTACAGATTCTACAAAAAGACAGTTTCAAAACTGCTCCATCAAAAGGAGGGTTCAACTGTGTGACTTGAATGCAATCATCACTCAGAAGTTTCTGAGAATGCTTCTCTTTAGTTTTTACGTGAACATATACCCGTTTCGAACGAAGGCCACCCAGTGGTCCAAATATCCACTTGCAGATTATACAGAAAGAGTGTTTCGAACCTGAACTCTCAAAGGCAAGTTCATCTCTGCAAGTTAAATGCATTCATCATGAAGAACTTTCTCAGAGTGTTTGTGTTTAGTTATGGGAAATTATTCCCGTTTCCAACGAAATCCTCAGAGAGCTCCAAATATCCACCTGCTGATTCTACCAAAAGTGTATTTGGAAACTGCTCCATCAAAAGGCATGTTCAGCTCTGTGAGTGAAACTCCATCATCACAAAGAATATTCTGAGAATGCTTCCGTTTGCCTTTTATATGAAGTTCCTTCCTATACGACCGTAGGCCTCAAAGCAGTCCAAATCTCCATTTGCAGATTCTACAAAAAGAGTGATTCCAATCTGCTCTATCAATAGGATTGTTCAACTCCATGAGTTGAATGCCATCCTCACAAAGTAGTTTCTGAGAATGCTTCTATCTAGTTTTATGTGAAGATATTTCCTTTTCCACCACAGGCCTCAAAGCCCTCCAAACGTCCACTTGCAGATTCTCGAAAAAGAGTGTTTCATAGCTGCTCTTTCAAAAGGAAAGTTCAACTCTGGGAGTTGAATACAAACATCACAAAGTAGTTTCCAAGAATGCTTCTGTTTAGTTTTTATGTGAAGATGATCCCGTTTCCAGTGAAATCTTCAAAGAGGTCCACATATCCCCTTGCAGATTCCAAAGAAAGAGGGTTTCAAAACTGCTCCATCAGAAGGATTGTTCAACTCTGTGAGTTGAATGCAGTCATCGCAGAAAACTTTCTGAGAATGCTTCTGTCTAGGTTTGATGTGAAGATATAGACGTTTCAAATGAAGGCTACAAAGTGGTCAAAATATACACTTGCAGATACTACTACAAGGGTGTTGCAAACCTGAACTATCAAAGGAAGGTTCAACTCTGTGAGTTGAATACAAACATCACAAAGAATGTTCTGAGTTTGCTTCCGTTCAGTTATGGGAAGTTGATCCCGTTTCCAACGAAATCCTCAGAGAGGTCCAAATATCCCCTTGCAGATTCTACAAAACGTGTGTTTGGAAACTGCTCCATCATAACGAATGTTCAGCTCCCTGAGTTAAACTCCATCGTCACAAAGAATTTTCTGAGAGTGCTACCGTCTGGTTTTTATATGAAGTTCTTTCCTTCACTACCACAGGCCTCAAAGCGGTCCAAATCTCCACTTGCAGATTCTACAAAAAGAGTGTTTGCAAACTGCTCTATCAAAAGGAATGTTCAACTCTGGGAGTTGAATGCAATCATCACAGAGCAGTTTCTGCGAATGCTTCTATGTCGTTTTTAGGAGAAGATATTTCCTTTTCCAACACAGTCCTCCAAGCCCGCTAAATAGCCACTTGCACATTGTAGAAAAAGTGTGTCAAAGCTGCGCTATCAAAGGGAAAGTTCAACTCTGTGAGGTGAATGCAAACATCCCAAAGAAGTTTCTGAGAATGCTTCCGTTTAGCTTTTAGGTGAAGATTATCCTGTTTCCAACGAAACCTTCAAAGAGGTCCAAATATCCCCTTGCGGATCCCACAGAAAGAGTGTTTCGAAACTGCTGTTTCAAAAGGAATCTTCAACTCTGTGAGTTGAATGCAATCATCACAAAGAAGTTTCTGACAATGCTTCTCTCTCGTCTTTCTGTGAAGATAAAGGAAAAGGCTTTCAGGCCTTTTCCACCACAGGCCTGAAAGCGCTCCAAATGTCCACTTGCAGATTCTGCGAAAAGAATATTTCAAAACTGCTCTATGAAAAGCAATGTTAAACTCTGTGGCTCGAACACAAACATCACAAAGCGGTTTCTGAGAATGCTTCAGTTTAGTTTTTCTGTGGAAATATTCCCGTTTCCAAAGAAATCTTCAAAGAGGTCCACGTATCCACTTACAGATTCTACAAAAAGACAGTTTCAAAACTGCTCCATCAAAAGGAGGGTTCAACTGTGTGACTTGAATGCAATCATCACTCAGAAGTTTCTGAGAATGCTTCTCTTTAGTTTTTACGTGAACATATACCCGTTTCGAACGAAGGCCACCCAGTGGTCCAAATATCCACTTGCAGATTCTACAGAAAGAGTGTTTCCAACCTGAACTCTCAAAGGCAGGTTCATCTCTGCGAGTTAAATGCATTCATCATGAAGAACTTTCTCAGAGTGTTTGTGTTTAGTTATGGGAAATTATTCCCGTTTCCAACGAAATCCTCAGAGAGCTCCAAATATCCACCTGCAGATTCTACCAAAAGTGTATTTGGAAACTGCTCCATCAAAAGGCATGTTCAGCTCTGTGAGTGAAACTCCATCATCACAAAGAATATTCTGAGAATGCTTCCGTTTGCCTTTTATATGAAGTTCCTTCCTATACGACCGTAGGCCTCAAAGCAGTCCAAATCTCCATTTGCAGATTCTACAAAAAGAGTGATTCCAATCTGCTCTATCAATAGGATTGTTCAACTCCATGAGTTGAATGCCATCGTCACAAAGTAGTTTCTGAGAATGCTTCTATCTAGTTTTTATGTGAAGATATTTCCTTTTCCACCACAGGCCTCAAAGCCCTCCAAACGTCCACTTGCAGATTCTCGAAAAAGAGTGTTTCATAGCTGCTCTTTCAAAAGGAAAGTTCAACTCTGGGAGTTGAATACAAACATCACAAAGTAGTTTCCGAGAATGCTTCTGTTTAGTTCTTATGTGAAGATGATCCCGTTTCCAGTGAAATCTTCAAAGAGGTCCACATATCCCCTTGCAGATTCCAAAGAAAGAGGGTTTCAAAACTGCTCCATCAAAAGGATTGTTCAACTCTGTGAGTTGAATGCAGTCATCGCAGAAAACTTTCTGAGAATGCTTCTGTCTAGGTTTGAGGTGAAGATATAGACGTTTCAAACGAAGGCTACAAAGTGGTCAAAATATACACTTGCAGATTCTCCTACAAGGGTGTTGCAAACCTCAACTATCAAAGGAAGGTTCAACTCTGTGAGTTGAATACAAACATCACAAAGAATGTTCTCAGTTTGCTTCTGTTCAGTTATGGGAAGTTGATCCCGTTTCCAACGAAATCCTCAGAGAGGTCCAAATATCCCCTTGCAGATTCTACAAAACGTGTGTTTGGAAACTGCTCCATCATAACGAATGTTCAGCTCTCTGAGTTAAACTCCATCGTCACAAAGAATTTTCTGAGAGTGCTACCGTCTGGTTTTTATATGAAGTTCTTTCCTTTACTACCACAGGCCTCAAAGCGGTCCAAATCTCCAGTTGCAGATTCTACAAAAAGAGTGTTTGCAAACTGCTCTATCAAAAGGAATGTTCAACTCTGGGAGTTGAATGCAATCATCACAGAGCAGTTTCTGAGAATGCTTCTATGTCGTTTTTAGGAGAAGATATTTCCTTTTCCAACACAGTCCTCCAAGCCCGCTAAATATCCACTTGCACATTGTAGAAAAAGTGTGTCGAAGCTGCGCTATCAAAGGGAAAGTTCAACTCTGTGAGGTGAATGCAAACATCCCAAAGAAGTTTCTGAGAATGCTTCCGTTTAGCTTTTAGGTGAAGATTATCCCGTTTCCAACGAAACCTTCAAAGAGGTCCAAATATCCCCTTGCGGATCCCACAGAAAGAGTGTTTCGAAACAGCTGTTTCAAAAGGAATCTTCAACTCTGTGAGTTGAATGCAATCATCACAAAGAAGTTTCTGACAATGCTTCTCTCTCGTCTTTCTGTGAAGATAAAGGAAAAGGCTTTCAGGCCTTTGCCACCACAGGCCTGAAAGCGCTCCAAATGTCCACTTGCAGATTCTGCGAAAAGAATATTTCAAAACTGCTCTATGAAAAGCAATGTTAAACTCTGTGGCTCGAACACAAACATCACAAAGCGGTTTTTGAGAATGTTTCAGTTTAGTTTTTCTGTGGAAATATTCCCGTTTCCAAAGAAATCTTCAAAGAGGTCCACGTATCCACTTACAGATTCTACAAAAAGACAGTTTCAAAACTGCTCCATCAAAAGGAGGGTTCAACTGTGTGACTTGAATGCAATCATCACTCAGAAGTTTCTGAGAATGCTTCTCTTTAGTTTTTACGTGAACATATACCCGTTTCGAACGAAGGCCACCCAGTGGTCCAAATATCCACTTGCAGATTATACAGAAAGAGTGTTTCGAACCTGAACTCTCAAAGGAAGGTTCATCTCTGCGAGTTAAATGCATTCATCATGAAGAACTTTCTCAGAGTGTTTGTGTTTAGTTATGGGAAATTATTCCCGTTTCCAACGAAATCCTCAGAGAGCTCCAAATATCCACCTGCAGATTCTACCAAAAGTGTATTTGGAAACTGCTCCATCAAAAGGCATGTTCAGCTCTGTCAGTGAAACTCCATCATCACAAAGAATATTCTGAGAATGCTTCCGTTTGCCTTTTATATGAAGTTCCTTCCTGTACTACCGTAGGCCTCAAAGCAGTCCAAATCTCCATTTGCAGATTCTACAAAAAGAGTGATTCCAATCTGCTGTATCAATAGGATTGTTCAACTCCATGAGTTGAATGCCATCCTCACAAAGTCGTTTCTGAGAATGCTTCTATCTGGTTTTTGTGTGAAGATATTTCCTTTTCCACCACAGGCCTCAAAGCCCTCCAAACGTCCACTTGCAGATTCTCGAAAAAGAGTGTTTCATAGCTGCTCTTTCAAAAGGAAAGTTCAACTCTGGGAGTTGAATACAAACATCACAAAATAGTTTCCGAGAATGCTTCTGTTTAGTTTTTATGTGAAGATGATCCCGTTTCCAGTGAAATCTTCAAAGAGGTCCACATATCCCCTTGCAGATTCCAAAGAAAGAGGGTTTCAAAACTGCTCCATCAGAAGGATTGTTCAACTCTGTGAGTGGAATGCAGTCATCGCAGAAAACTTTCTGAGAATGCTTCTTTCTAGGTTTGATGTGAAGATATAGACGTTTCAAACGAAGGCTACAAAGTGGTCAAAATATACACTTGCAGATTCTACTACAAGGGTGTTGCAAACCTGAACTATCAAAGGAAGGTTCAACTCTGTGAGTTGAATACAAACATCACAAAGAATGTTCTGAGTTTGCTTCCGTTCAGTTATGGGAAGTTGATCCCGTTTCCAACGAAATCCTCAGAGAGGTCCAAATATCCCCTTGCAGATTCTACAAAACGTGTGTTTGGAAACTGCTCCATCATAACGAATGTTCAGCTCCCTGAGTTAAACTCCATCGTCACAAAGAATTTTCTGAGAGTGCTACCGTCTGGTTTTTATATGAAGTTCTTTCCTTCACTACCACAGGCCTCAAAGCGGTCCAAATCTCCACTTGCAGATTCTACAAAAAGAGTGTTTGCAAACTGCTCTATCAAAAGGAATGTTCAACTCCTGGGAGTTGAATGCAATCATCACAGAGCAGTTTCTGAGAATGCTTCTATGTCGTTTTTAGGAGAAGATATTTCCTTTTCCAACACAGTCCTCCAAGCCCGCTAAATAGCCACTTGCACATTGTAGAAAAAGTGTGTCAAAGCTGCGCTATCAAAGGGAAAGTTCAACTCTGTGAGGTGAATGCAAACATCCCAAAGAAGTTTCTGAGAATGCTTCCGTTTAGCTTTTAGGTGAAGATTATCCCGTTTCCAACGAAACCTTCAAAGAGGTCCAAATATCCCCTTGCGGATCCCACAGAAAGAGTGTTTCGAAACTGCTGTTTCAAAAGGAATCTTCAACTCTGTGAGTTGAATGCAATCATCGCAAAGAAGTTTCTGACAATGCTTCTCTCTCGTCTTTCTGTGAAGATAAAGGAAAAGGCTTTCAGGCCTTTTCCACCACAGGCCTGAAAGCGCTCCAAATGTCCACTTGCAGATTCTGCGAAAAGAATATTTCAAATCTGCTCTATGAAAAGCAATGTTAAACTCTGTGGCTCGAACACAAACATCACAAAGCGGTTTCTGAGAATGCTTCAGTTTAGTTTTTCTGTGGAAATATTCCCGTTTCCAAAGAAATCTTCAAAGAGGTCCACGTATCCACTTACAGATTCTACAAAAAGACAGTTTCAAAACTGCTCCATCAAAAGGAGGGTTCAACCGTGTGACTTGAATGCAATCATCACTCAGAAGTTTCTGAGAATGCTTCTCTTTAGTTTTTACGTGAACATATACCCGTTTTGAACGAAGGCCACCCAGTGGTCCAAATATCCACTTGCAGATTCTACAGAAAGAGTGTTTCGAACCTGAACTCTCAAAGGCAGGTTCATCTCTGCGAGTTAAATGCATTCATCATGAAGAACTTTCTCAGAGTGTTTGTGTTTAGTTATGGGAAATTATTCCCGTTTCCAACGAAATCCTCAGAGAGCTCCAAATATCCACCTGCAGATTCTACCAAAAGTGTATTTGGAAACTGCTCCATCAAAAGGCATGTTCAGCTCTGTGAGTGAAACTCCATCATCACAAAGAATATTCTGAGAATGCTTCCGTTTGCCTTTTATATGAAGTTCCTTCCTGTACTACCGTAGTCCTCAAAGCAGTCCAAATCTCCATTTGCAGATTCTATAAAAAGAGTGATTCCAATCTGCTCTATCAATAGGATTGTTCAACTCCATGAGTTGAATGCCATCCTCACAAAGTAGTTTCTGAGAATGCTTCTATCTGGTTTTTGTGTGAAGATATTTCCTTTTCCACCACAGGCCTCAAAGCCCTCCAAACGTCCACTTGCAGATTCTCGAAAAAGAGTGTTTCATAGCTGCTCTTTCAAAAGGAAAGTTCAACTCTGGGAGTTGAATACAAACATCACAAAGTAGTTTCCGAGAATGCTTCTGTTTAGTTTTTATGTGAAGATGATCGATCCCGTTTCCAGTGAAATCTTCAAAGAGGTCCACATATCCCCTTGCAGATTCCAAAGAAAGAGGGTTTCAAAACTGCTCCATCAGAAGGATTGTTCAACTCTGTGAGTTGAATGCAGCCATCGCAGAAAACTTTCTGAGAATGCTTCTGTCTAGGTTTGATGTGAAGATATAGACGTTTCAAACGAAGGCTACAAAGTGGTCAAAATATACACTTGCAGATTCTACTACAAGGGTGTTGCAAACCTGAACTATCAAAGGAAGGTTCAACTCTGTGAGTTGAATACAAACATCACAAAGAATGTTCTGAGTTTGCTTCCGTTCAGTTATGGGAAGTTGATCCCGTTTCCAACGAAATCCTCAGAGAGGTCCAAATATCCCCTTGCAGATTCTACAAAACGTGTGTTTGGAAACTGCTCCATCATAATGAATGTTCAGCTCCCTGAGTTAAACTCCATCGTCACAAAGAATTTTCTGAGAGTGCTACCGTCTGGTTTTTATATGAAGTTCTTTCCTTCACTACCCCAGGCCTCAAAGCGGTCCAAATCTCCACTTGCAGATTCTACAAAAAGAGAGTTTGCAAACTGCTCTATCAAAAGGAATGTTCAACTCTGGGAGTTGAATGCAATCATCACAGAGCAGTTTCTGAGAATGCTTCTATGTCGTTTTTAGGAGAAGATATTTCCTTTTCCAACACAGTCCTCCAAGCCCGCTAAATAGCCACTTGCACATTGTAGAAAAAGTGTGTCAAAGCTGCGCTATCAAAGGGAAAGTTCAACTCTGTGAGGTGAATGCAAACATCCCAAAGAAGTTTCTGAGAATGCTTCCGTTTAGCTTTTAGGTGAAGATTATCCCGTTTCCAACGAAACCTTCAAAGAGGTCCAAATATCCCCTTGCGGATCCCACAGAAAGAGTGTTTCGAAACTGCTGTTTCAAAAGGAATCTTCAACTCTGTGAGTTGAATGCAATCATCACAAAGAAGTTTCTGACAATGCTTCTCTCTCGTCTTTCTGTGAAGATAAAGGAAAAGGCTTTCAGGCCTTTGCAACCACAGGCCTGAAAGCGCTCCAAATGTCCACTTGCAGATTCTGCGAAAAGAATATTTCAAAACTGCTCTATGAAAAGCAATGTTAAACTCTGTGGCTCGAACACAAACATCACCAAGCAGTTTCTGAGAATGCTTCAGTTTAGTTTTTCTGTGGAAATATTCCCGTTTCCAAAGAAATCTTCAAAGAGGTCCACGCATCCACTTACAGATTCTACAAAAAGACAGTTTCAAAACTGCTCCATCAAAAGGAGGGTTCAACTGTGTGACTTGAATGCAATCATCACTCAGAAGTTTCTGAGAATGCTTCTCTTTAGTTTTTACGTGAACATATACCCGTTTCGAACGAAGGCCAGCCAGTGGTCCAAATATCCACTTGCAGATTCTACAGAAAGAGTGTTTCGAACCTGAACTCTCAAAGGCAGGTTCATCTCTGCGAGTTAAATGCATTCATCATGAAGAACTTTCTCAGAGTGTTTGTGTTTAGTTATGGGAAATTATTCCCGTTTCCAACGAAATCCTCAGAGAGCTCCAAATATCCACCTGCAGATTCTACCAAAAGTGTATTTGGAAACTGCTCCATCAAAAGGCATGTTCAGCTCTGTCAGTGAAACTCCATCATCAGAAAGAATATTCTGAGAATGCTTCCGTTTGCCTTTTATATGAAGTTCCTTCCTGTACTACCGTAGGCCTCAAAGCAGTCCAAATCTCCATTTGCAGATTCTACAAAAAGAGTGATTCCAATCTGCTCTATCAATAGGATTGTTCAACTCCATGAGTTGAATGCCATCCTCACAAAGTAGTTTCTGAGAATGCTTCTATCTGGTTTTTGTGTGAAGATATTTCCTTTTCCACCACAGGCCTCAAAGCCCTCCAAACGTCCACTTGCAGATTCTCGAAAAAGAGTGTTTCATAGCTGCTCTTTCAAAAGGAAAGTTCAACTCTGGGAGTTGAATACAAACATCACAAAGTAGTTTCCGAGAATGCTTCTGTTTAGTTTTTATGTGAAGATGATCCCGTTTCCAGTGAAATCTTCAAAGAGGTCCACATATCCCCTTGCAGATTCCAAAGAAAGAGGGTTTCAAAACTGCTCCATCAGAAGGATTGTTCAACTCTGTGAGTTGAATGCAGTCATCGCAGAAAACTTTCTGAGAATGCTTCTGTCTAGGTTTGATGTGAAGATATAGACGTTTCAAACGAAGGCTACAAAGTGGTCAAAATATACACTTGCAGATTCTACTACAAGGGTGTTGCAAACCTGAACTATCAAAGGAAGGTTCAACTCTGTGAGTTGAATACAAACATCACAAAGAATGTTCTGAGTTTGCTTCCGTTCAGTTATGGGAAGTTGATCCCGTTTCCAACGAAATCCTCAGAGAGGTCCAAATATCCCCTTGCAGATTCTACAAAACGTGTGTTTGGAAACTGCTCCATCATAACGAATGTTCAGCTCCCTGAGTTAAACTCCATCGTCACAAAGAATTTTCTGAGAGTGCTACCGTCTGGTTTTTATATGAAGTTCTTTCCTTCACTACCACAGACCTCAAAGCGGTCCAAATCTCCACTTGCAGATTCTACAAAAAGAGTGTTTGCAAACTGCTCTATCAAAAGGAATGTTCAACTCTGGGAGTTGAATGCAATCATCACAGAGCAGTTTCTGAGAATGCTTCTATGTCGTTTTTAGGAGAAGATATTTCCTTTTCCAACACAGTCCTCCAAGCCCGCTAAATAGCCACTTGCACATTGTAGAAAAAGTGTGTCAAAGCTGCGCTATCAAAGGGAAAGTTCAACTCTGTGAGGTGAATGCAAACATCCCAAAGAAGTTTCTGAGAATGCTTCCGTTTAGCTTTTAGGTGAAGATTATCCCGTTTCCAACGAAACCTTCAAAGAGGTCCAAATATCCCCTTGCGGATCCCACAGAAAGAGTGTTTCGAAACTGCTGTTTCAAAAGGAATCTTCAACTCTGTGAGTTGAATGCAATCATCACAAAGAAGTTTCTGACAATGCTTCTCTCTCGTCTTTCTGTGAAGATAAAGGAAAAGGCTTTCAGGCCTTTTCCACCACAGGCCTGAAAGCGCTCCAAATGTCCACTTGCAGATTCTGCCAAAAGAATATTTCAAAACTGCTCTATGAAAAGCAATGTTAAACTCTGTGGCTCGAACACAAACATCACAAAGCGGTTTCTGAGAATGCTTCAGTTTAGTTTTTCTGTGGAAATATTCCCGTTTCCAAAGGAAATCTTCAAAGAGGTCCACGTATCCACTTACAGATTCTACAAAAAGACAGTTTCAAAACTGCTCCATCAAAAGGAGGGTTCAACTGTGTGACTTGAATGCAATCATCACTCAGAAGTTTCTGAGAATGCTTCTCTTTAGTTTTTACGTGAACATATACCCGTTTCGAACGAAGGCCACCCAGTGGTCCAAATATCCACTTGCAGATTCTACAGAAAGAGTGTTTCGAACCTGAACTCTCAAAGGCAGGTTCATCTCTGCGAGTTGAATGCATTCATCATGAAGAACTTTCTCAGAGTGTTTGTGCTTAGTTATGGGAAATTATTCCCGTTTCCAACGAAATCCTCAGAGAGCTCCAAATATCCACCTGCAGATTCTACCAAAAGTGTATTTGGAAACTGCTCCATCAAAAGGCATGTTCAGCTCTGTGAGTGAAACTCCATCATCACAAAGAATATTCTGAGAATGCTTCCGTTTGCCTTTTATATGAAGTTCCTTCCTGTACTACCGTAGGCCTCAAAGCAGTCCAAATCTCCATTTGCAGATTCTATAAAAAGAGTGATTCCAATCTGCTCTATCAATAGGATTGTTCAACTCCATGAGTTGAATGCCATCCTCACAAAGTAGTTTCTGAGAATGCTTCTATCTGGTTTTTGTGTGAAGATATTTCCTTTTCCACCACAGGCCTCAAAGCCCTCCAAACGTCCACTTGCAGATTCTCGAAAAAGAGTGTTTCATAGCTGCTCTTTCAAAAGGAAAGTTCAACTCTGGGAGTTGAATACAAACATCACAAAATAGTTTCCGAGAATGCTTCTGTTTAGTTTTTATGTGAAGATGATCCCGTTTCCAGTGAAATCTTCAAAGAGGTCCACATATCCCCTTGCAGATTCCAAAGAAAGAGGGTTTCAAAACTGCTCCATCAGAGGATTGTTCAACTCTGTGAGTTGAATGCAGTCATCGCAGAAAACTTTCTGAGAATGCTTCTGTCTAGGTTTGATGTGAAGATATAGACGTTTCAAACGAAGGCTACAAAGTGGTCAAAATATACACTTGCAGATTCTACTACAAGGGTGTTGCAAACCTGAACTATCAAAGGAAGGTTCAACTCTGTGAGTTGAATACAAACATCACAAAGAATGTTCTGAGTTTGCTTCCGTTCAGTTATGGGAAGTTGATCCCGTTTCCAACGAAATCCTCAGAGAGGTCCAAATATCCCCTCACAGATTCTACAAAACGTGTGTTTGGAAACTGCTCCATCATAACGAATGTTCAGCTCCGTGAGTTAAACTCCATCGTCACAAAGAATTTTCTGAGAGTGCTACCGTCTGGTTTTTATATGAAGTTCTTTCCTTCACTACCACAGGCCTCAAAGCGGTCCAAATCTCCACTTGCAGATTCTACAAAAAGAGTGTTTGCAAACTGCTCTATCAAAAGGAATGTTCAACTCTGGGAGTTGAATGCAATCATCACAGAGCAGTTTCTGAGAATGCTTCTATGTCGTTTTTAGGAGAAGATATTTCCTTTTCCAACACAGTCCTCCAAGCCCGCTAAATAGCCACTTGCACATTGTAGAAAAAGTGTGTCAAAGCTGCGCTATCAAAGGGAAAGTTCAACTCTGTGAGGTGAATGCAAACATCCCAAAGAAGTTTCTGAGAATGCTTCCGTTTAGCTTTTAGGTGAAGATTATCCCGTTTCCAACGAAACCTTCAAAGAGGTCCAAATATCCCCTTGCGGATCCCACAGAAAGAGTGTTTCGAAACTGCTGTTTCAAAAGGAATCTTCAACTCTGTGAGTTGAATGCAATCATCACAAAGAAGTTTCTGACAATACTTCTCTCTCGTCTTTCTGTGAAGATAAAGGAAAAGGCTTTCAGGCCTTTTCCACCACAGGCCTGAAAGCGCTCCAAATGTCCACTTGCAGATTCTGCCAAAAGAATATTTCAAAACTGCTCTATGAAAAGCAATGTTAAACTCTGTGGCTCGAACACAAACATCACAAAGCAGTTTCTGAGAATGCTTCAGTTTAGTTTTTCTGTGGAAATATTCCCGTTTCCAAAGAAATCTTCAAAGAGGTCCACGTATCCACTTACAGATTCTACAAAAAGACAGTTTCAAAACTGCTCCATCAAAAGGAGGGTTCAACCGTGTGACTTGAATGCAATCATCACTCAGAAGTTTCTGAGAATGCTTCTCTTTAGTTTTTACGTGAACATATACCCGTTTCGAACGAAGGCCACCCAGTGGTCCAAATATCCACTTGCAGATTATACAGAAAGAGTGTTTCGAACCTGAACTCTCAAAGGCAGGTTCATCTCTGCGAGTTAAATGCATTCATCATGAAGAACTTTCTCAGCGTGTTTGTGTTTAGTTTTGGGAAATTATTCCCGTTTCCAACGAAATCCTCAAAGAGCTCCAAATATCCACCTGCAGATTCTACCAAAAGTGTATTTGGAAACTGCTCCATCAAAAGGCATGTTCAGCTCTGTGAGTGAAACTCCATCATCACAAAGAATATTCTGAGAATGCTTCCGTTTGCCTTTTATATGAAGTTCCTTCCTATACGACCGTAGGCCTCAAAGCAGTCCAAATCTCCATTTGCAGATTCTACAAAAAGAGTGATTCCAATCTGCTCTATCAATAGGATTGTTCAACTCCATGAGTTGAATGCCATCCTCACAAAGTAGTTTCTGAGAATGCTTCTATCTAGTTTTATGTGAAGATATTTCCTTTTCCACCACAGGCCTCCAAGCCCTCCAAACGTCCACTTGCAGATTCTCGAAAAAGAGTGTTTCATAGCTGCTCTTTCAAAAGGAAAGTTCAACTCTGGGAGTTGAATACAAACATCACAAAGTAGTTTCCGAGAATGCTTCTGTTTAGTTTTTATGTGAAGATGATCCCGTTTCCAGTGAAATCTTCAAAGAGGTCCACATATCCCCTTGCACATTCCAAAGAAAGAGGGTTTCAAAACTGCTCCATCAGAAGGATTGTTCAACTCTGTGAGTTGAATGCAGTCATCGCAGAAAACTTTCTGAGAATGCTTCTGTCTAGGTTTGATGTGAAGATATAGACGTTTCAAACGAAGGCTACAAAGTGGTCAAAATATACACTTGCAGATTCTACTACAAGGGTGTTGCAAACCTGAACTATCAAAGGAAGGTTCAACTCTGTGAGTTGAATACAAACATCACAAAGAATGTTCTGAGTTTGCTACCGTTCAGTTATGGGAAGTTGATCCCGTTTCCAACGAAATCCTCAGAGAGGTCCAAATATCCCCTTGCAGATTCTACAAAACGTGTGTTTGGAAACTGCTCCATCATAACGAATGTTCAGCTCTCTGAGTTAAACTCCATCGTCACAAAGAATTTTCTGAGAGTGCTACCGTCTCGTTTTTATATGAAGTTCTTTCCTTTACTACCACAGGCCTCAAAGCGGTCCAAATCTCCACTTGCAGATTCTACAAAAAGAGTGTTTGCAAACTGCTCTATCAAAAGGAATGTTCAACTCTGGGAGTTGAATGCAATCATCACAGAGCAGTTTCTGAGAATGCTTCTATGTCGTTTTTAGGAGAAGATATTTCCTTTTCCAACACAGTCCTCCAAGCCCGCTAAATAGCCACTTGCACATTGTAGAAAAAGTGTGTCGAAGCTGCGCTATCAAAGGGAAAGTTCAACTCTGTGAGGTGAATGCAAACATCCCAAAGAAGTTTCTGAGAATGCTTCCGTTTAGCTTTTAGGTGAAGATTATCCCGTTTCCAACGAAATCTTCAAAGAGGTCCAAATATCCCCTTGCGGATCCCACAGAAAGAGTGTTTCGAAACTGCTGTTTCAAAAGGAATCTTCAACTCTGTGAGTTGAATGCAATCATCACAAAGAAGTTTCTGACAATGCTTCTCTCTCGTCTTTCTGTGAAGATAAAGGAAAAGGCTTTCAGGCCTTTGCCACCACAGGCCTGAAAGCGCTCCAAATGTCCACTTGCAGATTCTGCCAAAAGAATATTTCAAAACTGCTCTATGAAAAGCAATGTTAAACTCTGTGGCTCGAACACAAACATCACAAAGCGGTTTCTGAGAATGTTCAGTTTACTTTTTCTGTGGAAATATTCCCGTTTCCAAAGAAATCTTCAAAGAGGTCCACGCATCCACTTACAGATTCTACAAAAAGACAGTTTCAAAACTGCTCAATCAAAAGGAGGGTTCAACTGTGTGACTTGAATGCAATCATCACTCAGAAGTTTCTGGGAACGCTTCTCTTTAGTTTTTACGTGAACATATACCCGTTTCGAACGAAGGCCAGCCAGTGGTCCAAATATCCACTTGCAGATTCTACAGAAAGAGTGTTTCGAACCTGAACTCTCAAAGGCAGGTTCATCTCTGCGAGTTAAATGCATTCATCATGAAGAACTTTCTCAGAGTGTTTGTGTTTAGGTATGGGAAATTATTGCCGTTTCCAACGAAATCCTCAGAGAGGTCCAAATATCCACCTGCAGATTCTACCAAAAGTGTATTTGGAAACTGCTCCATCAAAAGGCATGTTCAGCTCTGTGAGTGAAACTCCATCATCACAAAGAATATTCTGAGAATGCTTCCATTTGCCTTTTATATGAAGTTCCTTCCTATACTACCGTAGGCCTCAAAGCAGTCCAAATCTCCATTTGCAGATTCTACAAAAAGAGTGATTCCAATCTGCTCTATCAATAGGATTGTTCAACTCCATGAGTTGAATGCCATGCTCACAAAGTCGTTTCTGAGAATGCTTCTATCTAGTTTTTATGTGAAGATATTTCCTTTTCCACCACAGGCCTCAAAGCCCTCCAAACGTCCACTTGCAGATTCTCGAAAAAGTGTGTTTCATAGCTGCTCTTTCAAAAGGAAATTTCAACTCTGGGAGTTGAATACAAACATCACAAAGTAGTTTCCGAGAATGCTTCTGTTTAGTTCTTATGTGAAGATGATCCCGTTTCCAGTGAAATCTTCAAAGAGGTCCACATATCCCCTTGCAGATTCCAAAGAAAGAGGGTTTCAAAACTGCTCCATCAAAAGGATTGTTCAACTCTGTGAGTTGAATGCAGTCATCGCAGAAAACTTTCTGAGAATGCTTCTGTCTAGGTTTGATGTGAAGATATAGACGTTTCAAATGAAGGCTACAAAGTGGTCAAAATATACACTTGCAGATTCTACTACAAGGGTGTTGCAAACCTGAACTATCAAAGGAAGGTTCAACTCTGTGAGTTGAATACAAACATCACAAAGAATGTTCTGAGTTTGCTTCCGTTCAGTTATGGGAAGTTGATCCCGTTTCCAACGAAATCCTCAGAGAGGTCCAAATATCCCCTTGCAGATTCTACAAAACGTGTGTTTGGAAACTGCTCCATCATAACGAATGTTCAGCTCCCTGAGTTAAACTCCATCGTCACAAAGAATTTTCTGAGAGTGCTACCGTCTGGTTTTTATATGAAGTTCTTTCCTTCACTACCACAGGCCTCAAAGCGGTCCAAATCTCCACTTCCAGATTCTACAAAAAGAGTGTTTGCAAACTGCTCTATCAAAAGGAATGTTCAACTCTGGGAGTTGAATGCAATCATCACAGAGCAGTTTCTGAGAATGCTTCTATGTCGTTTTTAGGAGAAGATATTTCCTTTTCCAACACAGTCCTCCAAGCCCGCTAAATAGCCACTTGCACATTGTAGAAAAAGTGTGTCAAAGCTGCGCTATCAAAGGGAAAGTTCAACTCTGTGAGGTGAATGCAAACATCCCAAAGAAGTTTCTGAGAATGCTTCCGTTTAGCTTTTAGGTGAAGATTATCCCGTTTCCAACGAAACCTTCAAAGAGGTCCAAATATCCCCTTGCGGATCCCACAGAAAGAGTGTTTCGAAACTGCTGTTTCAAAAGGAATCTTCAACTCTGTGAGTTGAATGCAATCATCACAAAGAAGTTTCTGACAATGCTTCTCTCTCGTCTTTCTGTGAAGATAAAGGAAAAGGCTTTCAGGCCTTTTCCACCACAGGCCTGAAAGCGCTCCAAATGTCCACTTGCAGATTCTGCGAAAAGAATATTTCAAAACTGCTCTATGAAAAGCAATGTTAAACTCTGTGGCTGGAACACAAACATCACAAAGCAGTTTCTGAGAATGTTTCAGTTTAGTTTTTCTGTGGAAATATTCCCGTTTCCAAAGAAATCTTCAAAGAGGTCCACGTATCCACTTACAGATTCTACAAAAAGACAGTTTCAAAACTGCTCCATCAAAAGGAGGGTTCAACTGTGTGACTTGAATGCAATCATCACTCAGAAGTTTCTGAGAATGCTTCTCTTTAGTTTTTACGTGAACATATACCCGTTTCGAACGAAAGCCAGCCAGTGGTCCAAATATCCACTTGCAGATTCTACAGAAAGAGTGTTTCAAACCTGAACTCTCAAAGGCAGGTTCATCTCTGCGAGTTAAATGCATTCATCATGAAGAACTTTCTCAGCGTGTTTGTGTTTAGTTATGGGAAATTATTCCCGTTTCCAACGAAATCCTCAGAGAGCTCCAAATATCCACCTGCAGATTCTACCAAAAGTGTATTTGGAAACTGCTCCATCAAAAGGCATGTTCAGCTATGTGAGTGAAACACCATCATCACAAAGAATATTCTGAGAATGCTTCCGTTTGCCTTTTATATGAAGCTCCTTCCTATACTACCGTAGGCCTCAAAGCAGTCCAAATCTCCTTTTGCAGATTCTACAAAAAGAGTGATTCCAATCTGCTCTATCAATAGGATTGTTCAACTCCATGAGTTGAATGCCATCCTCACAAAGTCGTTTCTGAGAATGCTTCTATCTAGTTTTTATGTGAAGATATTTCCTTTTCCACCACAGGCCTCAAAGCCCTCCAAACGTCCACTTGCAGATTCTCGAAAAAGAGTGTTTCATAGCTGCTCTTTCAAAAGGAAAGTTCAACTCTGGGAGTTGAATACAAACATCACAAAGTAGTTTCCGAGAATGCTTCTGTTTAGTTCTTATGTGAAGATGATCCCGTTTCCAGTGAAATCTTCAAAGAGGTCCACATATCCCCTTGCAGATTCCAAAGAAAGAGGGTTTCAAAACTGCTCCATCAAAAGGATTGTTCAACTCTGTGAGTTGAATGCAGTCATCGCAGAAAACTTTCTGAGAATGCTTCTGTCTAGGTTTGATGTGAAGTTATAGACGTTTAAAACGAAGGCTACAAAGTGGTCAAAATATACACTTACAGATTCTACTACAAGGGTGTTGCAAACCTGAACTATCAAAGGAAGGTTCAACTCTGTGGGTTGAATACAAACATCGCAAAGAATGTTCTGAGTTTGCTTCCGTTCAGTTATGGGAAGTTGATCCCGTTTCCAACGAAATCCTCAGAGAGGTCCAAATATCCCCTTGCAGATTCTACAAAACGTGTGTTTGGAAACTGCTCCATCATAACGAATGTTCAGCTCCCTGAGTTAAACTCCATCGTCACAAAGAATTTTCTGAGAGTGCTACCGTCTAGTTTTTATATGAAGTTCTTTCCTTTACTACCACAGGCCTCAAAGCGGTCCAAATCTCCACTTGCAGATTCTACAAAAAGAGTGTCTGCAAACTGCTCTATCAAAAGGAATGTTCAACTCTGGGAGTTGAATGCAATCATCACAGAGCAGTTTCTGAGAATGCTTCTATGTCGTTTTTAGGAGAAGATATTTCCTTTTCCAACACAGTCCTCCAAGCCCGCTAAATAGCCACTTGCACATTGTAGAAAAAGTGTGTCGAAGCTGCGCTATCAAAGGGAAAGTTCAACTCTGTGAGGTGAATGCAAACATCCCAAAGAAGTTTCTGAGAATGCTTCCGTTTAGCTTTTAGGTGAAGATTATCCCGTTTCCAACGAAACCTTCAAAGAGGTCCAAATATCCCCTTGCGGATCCCACAGAAAGAGTGTTTCGAAACTGCTGTTTCAAAAGGAATCTTCAACTCTGTGAGTTGAATGCAATCATCACAAAGAAGTTTCTGACAATGCTTCTCTCTCGTCTTTCTGTGAAGATAAAGGAAAAGGCTTTCAGGCCTTTGCCACCACAGGCCTGAAAGCGCTCCAAGTGTCCACTTGCAGATTCTGCGAAAAGAATATTTCAAAACTGCTCTATGAAAAGCAATGTTAAACTCTGTGGCTCGAACACAAACATCACAAAGAGGTTTCTGAGAATGCTTCAGTTTAGTTTTTCTGTGGAAATATTCCCGTTTCCAAAGAAATCTTCAAAGAGGTCCACGTATCCACTTACAGATTCTACAAAAAGACAGTTTCAAAACTGCTCCATCAAAAGGAGGGTTCAACTGTGTGACTTGAATGCAATCATCACTCAGAAGTTTCTGAGAATGCTTCTCTTTAGTTTTTACGTGAACATATACCCGTTTCGAACGAAGGCCAGCCAGTGGTCCAAATATCCACTTGCAGATTCTACAGAAAGAGTGTTTCGAACATGAACTCTCAAAGGCAGGTTCATACTCTGCGAGTTAAATGCATTCATCATGAAGAACTTTCTCAGAGTGTTTGTGTTTAGTTATGGGAAATTATTCCCGTTTCCAACGAAATCCTCAGAGAGCTCCAAATATCCACCTGCAGATTCTACCAAAAGTGTATTTGGAAACTGCTCCATCAAAAGGCATGTTCCGCTCTGTGAGTGAAACTCCATCATCACAAAGAATATTCTGAGAATGCTTCCGTTTGCCTTTTATATGAAGTTCCTTCCTATACGACCGTAGGCCTCAAAGCAGTCCAAATCTCCATTTGCAGATTCTACAAAAAGAGTGATTCCAATCTGCTCTATCAATAGGATTGTTCAACTCCATGAGTTGAATGCCATCCTCACAAAGTCGTTTCTGAGAATGCTTCTATCTAGTTTTTATGTGAAGATATTTCCTTTTCCACCACAGGCCTCAAAGCCCTCCAAACGTCCACTTGCAGA
This sequence comes from Homo sapiens, assembly GCF_000001405.40. Taxonomy (NCBI): domain Eukaryota; kingdom Metazoa; phylum Chordata; class Mammalia; order Primates; family Hominidae; genus Homo; species Homo sapiens. The sequence goes on along the minus strand of NC_000023.11, from coordinate 61,836,002 downwards.
TTCTCGAAAAAGAGTGTTTCATAGCTGCTCTTTCAAAAGGAAAGTTCAACTCTGGGAGTTGAATACAAACATCACAAAGTAGTTTCCGAGAATGCTTCTGTTTAGTTTTTATGTGAAGATGATCCCGTTTCCAGTGAAATCTTCAAAGAGGTCCACATATCCCCTTGCAGATTCCAAAGAAAGAGGGTTTCAAAACTGCTCCATCAGAAGGTTTGTTCAACTCTGTGAGTTGAATGCAGTCATCGCAGAAAACTTTCTGAGAATGCTTCTGTCTAGGTTTGATGTGAAGATATAGACGTTTCAAACGAAGGCTACAAAGTGGTCAAAATATACACCTGCAGATTCTACTACAAGGGTGTTGCAAACCTGAACTATCAAAGGAAGTTTCAACTCCGTCAGTTGAATACAAACATCACAAAGAATGTTCTGAGTTTGCTTCCGTTCAGTTATGGGAAGTTGATCCCGTTTCCAACGAAATCCTCAGAGAGGTCCAAATATCCCCTTGCAGATTCTACAAAACGTGTGTTTGGAAACTGCTCCATCATAACGAATGTTCAGCTCCCTGAGTTAAACTCCATCGTCACAAAGAATTTTCTGAGAGTGCTACCGTCTGGTTTTTATATGAAGCTCTTCCCTTCACTACCACAGGCCTCAAAGCGGTCCAAATCTCCACTTGCAGATTCTACAAAAAGAGTGTTTGCAAACTGCTCTATCAAAAGGAATGTTCAACTCTGGGAGTTGAATGCAATCATCACAGAGCAGTTTCTGAGAATGCTTCTATGTCGTTTTTAGGAGAAGATATTTCCTTTTCCAACACAGTCCTCCAAGTCCGCTAAATAGCCACTTGCACATTGTAGAAAAAGTGTGTCAAAGCTGCGCTATCAAAGGGAAAGTTCAACTCTGTGAGGTGAATGCAAACATCCCAAAGAAGTTTCTGAGAATGCTTCCGTTTAGCTTTTAGGTGAAGATTATCCCGTTTCCAACGAAACCTTCAAAGAGGTCCAAATATCCCCTTGCGGATCCCACAGAAAGAGTGTTTCGAAACTGCTGTTTCAAAAGGAATCTTCAACTCTGTGAGTTGAATGCAATCATCACAAAGAAGTTTCTGACAATGCTTCTCTCTCGTCTTTCTGTGAAGATAAAGGAAAAGGCTTTCAGGCCTTTTCCACCACAGGCCTGAAAGCGCTCCAAATGTCCACTTGCAGATTCTGCGAAAAGAATATTTCAAAACTGCTCTATGAAAAGCAATGTTAAACTCTGTGGCTCGAACGCAAACATCACAAAGCAGTTTCTGAGAATGCTTCAGTTTAGTTTTTCTGTGGAAATATTCCCGTTTCCAAAGAAATCTTCAAAGAGGTCCACGTATCCACTTACAGATTCTACAAAAAGACAGTTTCAAAACTGCTCCATCAAAAGGAGGGTTCAACTGTGTGACTTGAATGCAATCATCACTCAGAAGTTTCTGAGAATGCTTCTCTTTAGTTTTTACGTGAACATATACCCGTTTCGAACGAAGGCCACCCAGTGGTCCAAATATCCACTTGCAGATTATACAGAAAGAGTGTTTCGAACCTGAACTCTCAAAGGCAGGTTCATCTCTGCGAGTTAAATGCATTCATCATGAAGAACTTTCTCAGCGTGTTTGTGTTTAGTTATGGGAAATTATTCCCGTTTCCAACGAAATCCTCAGAGAGGTTCAAATATCCACCTGCAGATTCTACCAAAAGTGTATTTGGAAACTGCTCCATCAAAAGGCATGTTCAGCTCTGTGTGTGAAACTCCATCATCACAAAGAATATTCTGAGAATGCCTCCGTTTGCCTTTTATATGAAGTTCCTTCCTATACTACCGTAGGCCTCAAAGCAGTCCAAATCTCCATTTGCAGATTCTACAAAAAGAGTGATTCCAATCTGCTCTATCAATAGGACTGTTCAACTCCATGAGTTGAATGCCATCCTCACAAAGTAGTTTCTGAGAATGCTTCTATCTAGTTTTTATGTGAAGATATTTCCTTTTCCACCACAGGCCTCAAAGCCTTCCAAACGTCCACTTGCAGATTCTCGAAAAAGAGTGTTTCATAGCTGCTCTTTCAAAAGGAAAGTTCAACTCTGGGAGTTGAATACAAACATCACAAAGTAGTTTCCGAGAATGCTTCTGTTTAGTTCTTATGTGAAGATGATCCCGTTTCCAGTGAAATCTTCAAAGAGGTCCACATATGCCCTTGCAGATTCCAAAGAAAGTGGGTTTCAAAACTGCTCCATCAAAAGGATTGCTCAACTCTGTGAGTAGAATGCAGTCATCGCAGAAAACTTTCTGAGAATGCTTCTGTCTAGGTTTGATGTGAAGATATAGACGTTTCAAACGAAGGCTACAAAGTGGTCAAAATATACACTTGCAGATTCTACTACAAGGGTGTTGCAAACCTGAACTATCAAAGGAAGGTTCAACTCTGTGAGTTGAATACAAACATCACAAAGAATGTTCTGAGTTTGCTTCCGTTCAGTTATGGGAAGTTGATCCCGTTTCCAACGAAATCCTCAGAGAGGTCCAAATATCCCCTTGCAGATTCTACAAAACGTGTTTTTGGAAACTGCTCCATCATAACGAATGTTCAGCTCCCTGAGTTAAACTCCATCGTCACAAAGAATTTTCTGAGAGTGCTACCGTCTGGTTTTTATATGAAGTTCTTTCCTTCACTACCACAGGCCTCAAAGCGGTCCAAATCTCCACTTGCAGATTCTACAAAAAGAGTGTTTGCAAACTGCTCTATCAAAAGGAATGTTCAACTCTGGGAGTTGAATGCAATCATCACAGAGCAGTTTCTGAGAATGCTTCTATGTCGTTTTTAGGAGAAGATATTTCCTTTTCCAACACAGTCCTCCAAGCCCGCTAAATAGCCACTTGCACATTGTAGAAAAAGTGTGTCAAAGCTGCGCTATCAAAGGGAAAGTTCAACTCTGTGAGGTGAATGCAAACATCCCAAAGAAGTTTCTGAGAATGCTTCCGTTTAGCTTTTAGGTGAAGATTATCCCGTTTCCAACGAAACCTTCAAAGAGGTCCAAATATCCCCTTGCGGATCCCACAGAAAGAGTGTTTCGAAACTGCTGTTTCAAAAGGAATCTTCAACTCTGTGAGTTGAATGCAATCATCACAAAGAAGTTTCTGACAATGCTTCTCTCTCGTCTTTCTGTGAAGATAAAGGAAAAGGCTTTCAGGCCTTTTCCACCACAGGCCTGAAAGCGCTCCAAATGTCCACTTGCAGATTCTGCCAAAAGAATATTTCAAAACTGCTCTATGAAAAGCAATGTTAAACTCTGCGGCTCAAACACAAACATCACAAAGCGGTTTCTGAGAATGCTTCAGTTTAGTTTTTCTGTGGAAATATTCCCGTTTTCAAAGAAATCTTCAAAGAGGTCCACGTATCCACTTACAGATTCTACAAAAAGACAGTTTCAAAACTGCTCCATCAAAAGGAGGGTTCAACTGTGTGACTTGAATGCAATCATCACTCAGAAGTTTCTGAGAATGCTTCTCTTTAGTTTTTACGTGAACATATACCCGTTTCGAACGAAGGCCACCCAGTGGTCCAAATATCCACTTGCAGATTATACAGAAAGAGTGTTTCGAACCTGAACTCTCAAAGGCAGGTTCATCTCTGCGAGTTAAATGCATTCATCATGAAGAACTTTCTCAGAGTGTTTTGTGTTTAGTTATGGGAAATTATTCCCGTTTCCAACGAAATCCTCAGGAGAGCTCCAAATATCCACCTGCAGATTCTACCAAAAGTGTATTTGGAAACTGCTCCATCAAAAGGCATGTTCAGCTCTGTGAGTGAAACTCCATCATCACAAAGAATATTCTGAGAATGCTTCCGTTTGCCTTTTATATGAAGTTCCTTCCTGTACTACCGTAGGCCTCAAAGCAGTCCAAATCTCCATTTGCAGATTCTATAAAAAGAGTGATTCCAATCTGCTCTATCAATAGGATTGTTCAACTCCATGAGTTGAATGCCATCCTCACAAAGTAGTTTCTGAGAATGCTTCTATCTAGTTTTTATGTTTAGGTATTTCCTTTTCCACCACAGGCCTCCAAGCCCTCCAAACGTCCACTTGCAGATTCTCGAAAAAGAGTGTTTCATAGCTGCTCTTTCAAAAGGAAAGTTGAACTCTGGGAGTTGAATACAAACATCACAAAGTAGTTTCCGAGAATGCTTCTGTTTAGTTTTTATGTGAAGATGATCCCGTTTCCAGTGAAATCTTCAAAGAGGTCCACATATCCCCTTGCAGATTCCAAAGAAAGAGGGTTTCAAAACTGCTCCATCAGAAGGATTGTTCAACTCTGTGAGTTGAATGCAGTCATCGCAGAAAACTTTCTGAGAATGCTTCTGTCTAGGTTTGAGGTGAAGATATAGACGTTTCAAACGAAGGCTACAAAGTGGTCAAAATATACACTTGCAGATTCTACTACAAGGGTGTTGCAAACCTCAACTATCAAAGGAAGGTTCAACTCTGTGAGTTGAATACAAACATCACAAAGAATGTTCTGAGTTTGCTTCCGTTCAGTTATGGGAAGTTGATCCCGTTTCCAACGAAATCCTCAGAGAGGTCCAAATATCCCCTTGCAGATTCTACAAAACGTGTGTTTGGAAACTGCTCCATCATAACGAATGTTCAGCTCTCTGAGTTAAACTCCATCGTCACAAAGAATTTTCTGAGAGTGCTACCGTCTAGTTTTTATAGGAAGTTCTTTCCTTTACTACCACAGGCCTCAAAGCGGTCCAAATCTCCACTTGCAGATTCTACAAAAAGAGTGTTTGCAAACTGCTCTATCAAAAGGAATGTTCAACTCTGGGAGTTGAATGCAATCATCACAGAGCAGTTTGTGAGAATGCTTCTATGTCGTTTTTAGGAGAAGATATTTCCTTTTCCAACACAGTCCTCCAAGCCCGCTAAATATCCACTTGCACATTGTAGAAAAAGTGTGTCGAAGCTGTGCTATCAAAGGGAAAGGTCAACTCTGTGAGGTGAATGCAAACATCCCAAAGAAGTTTCTGAGAATGCTTCCATTTAGCTTTTAGGTGAAGATTATCCCGTTTCCAACGAAATCTTCAAAGAGGTCCAAATATCCCCTTGCGGATCCCACAGAAAGAGTGTTTCGAAACTGCTGTTTCAAAAGGAATCTTCAACTCTGTGAGTTGAATGCAATCATCACAAAGAAGTTTCTGACAATGCTTCTCTCTCGTCTTTCTGTGAAGATAAAGGAAAAGGCTTTCAGGCCTTTTCCACCACAGGCCTGAAAGCGCTCCAAATGTCCACTTGCAGATTCTGCCAAAAGAATATTTCAAAACTGCTCTATGAAAAGCAATGTTAAACTCGGTGGCTCGAACACAAACATCCAAAGCAGTTTCTGAGAATGCTTCAGTTTAGTTTTTCTGTGGAAATATTCCCGTTTCCAAAGAAATCTTCAAAGAGGTCCACGCATCCACTTACAGATTCTACAAAAAGACAGTTTCAAAACTGCTCAATCAAAAGGAGGGTTCAACTGTGTGACTTGAATGCAATCATCACTCAGAAGTTTCTGAGAACGCTTCTCTTTAGTTTTTACGTGAACATATACCCGTTTCGAACGAAGGCCAGCCAGTGGTCCAAATATCCACTTGCAGATTCTACAGAAAGAGTGTTTCGAACCTGAACTCTCAAAGGCAGGTTCATCTCTGCGAGTTAAATGCATTCATCATGAAGAACTTTCTCAGCGTGTTTGTGTTTAGTTATGGGAAATTATTCCCGTTTCCAACGAAATCCTCAGAGAGCTCCAAATATCCACCTGCAGATTCTACCAAAAGTGTATTTGGAAACTGCTCCATCAAAAGGCATGTTCAGCTCTGTGAGTGAAACTCCATCATCACAAAGAATATTCTGAGAATGCTTCCGTTTGCCTTTTATATGAAGTTCCTTCCTATACGACCGTAGGCCTCAAAGCAGTCCAAATCTCCATTTGCAGATTCTACAAAAAGAGTGATTCCAATCTGCTCTATCAATAGGATTGTTCAACTCCATGAGTTGAATGCCATCCTCACAAAGTCGTTTCTGAGAATGCTTTCTATCTAGTTTTTATGTGAAGATATTTCCTTTTCCACCACAGGCCTCAAAGCCCTCCAAACGTCCACTTGCAGATTCTCGAAAAAGAGTGTTTCATAGCTGCTCTTTCAAAAGGAAAGTTCAACTCTGCGAGTTGAATACAAACATCACAAAGTAGTTTCCGAGAATGCTTCTGTTTAGTTTTTATGTGAAGATGATCCCGTTTCCAGTGAAATCTTCAAAGAGGTCCACATATCCCCTTGCAGATTCCAAAGAAAGAGGGTTTCAAAACTGCTCCATCAGAAGGATTGTTCAACTCTGTGAGTTGAATGCAGTCATGGCAGAAAACTTTCTGAGAATGCTTCTGTCTAGGTTTGATGTGAAGATATAGACGTTTCAAACGAAGGCTACAAAGTGGTCAAAATATACACTTGCAGATTCTACTACAAGGGTGTTGCAAACCTGAACTATCAAAGGAAGGTTCAACTCTGTGAGTTGAATACAAACATCACAAAGAATGTTCTGAGTTTGCTTCCGTTCAGTTATGGGAAGTTGATCCCGTTTCCAACGAAATCCTCAGAGAGGTCCAAATATCCCCTTGCAGATTCTACAAAACGTGTGTTTGGAAACTGCTCCATCATAACGAATGTTCAGCTCTCTGAGTTAAACTCCATCGTCACAAAGAATTTTCTGAGAGTGCTACCGTCTAGTTTTTATAGGAAGTTCTTTCCTTTACTACCACAGGCCTCAAAGCGGTCCAAATCTCCACTTGCAGATTCTACAAAAAGAGTGTTTGCAAACTGCTCTATCAAAAGGAATGTTCAACCCTGGGAGTTGAATGCAATCATCACAGAGCAGTTTCTGAGAATGCTTCTATGTCGTTTTTAGGAGAAGATATTTCCTTTTCCAACACAGTCCTCCAAGCCCGCTAAATATCCACTTGCACATTGTAGAAAAAGTGTGTCGAAGCTGCGCTATCAAAGGGAAAGTTCAACTCTGTGAGGTGAATGCAAACATCCCAAAGAAGTTTCTGAGAATGCTTCCGTTTAGCTTTTAGGTGAAGATTATCCCGTTTCCAACGAAACCTTCAAAGAGGTCCAAATATCCCCTTGCGGATCCCACAGAAAGAGTGTTTCGAAACTGCTGTTTCAAAAGGAATCTTCAACTCTGTGAGTTGAATGCAATCATCACAAAGAAGTTTCTGACAATGCTTCTCTCTCGTCTTTCTGTGAAGATAAAGGAAAAGGCTTTCAGGCCTTTTCCACCACAGGCCTGAAAGCGCTCCAAATGTCCACTTGCAGATTCTGCCAAAAGAATATTTCAAAACTGCTCTATGAAAAGCAATGTTAAACTCTGTGGCTCGAACACAAACATCACAAAGCGGTTTCTGAGAATGCTTCAGTTTAGTTTTTCTGTGGAAATATTCCCGTTTCCAAAGAAATCTTCAAAGAGGTCCACATATCCACTTACAGATTCTACAAAAAGACAGTTTCAAAACTGCTCCATCAAAAGGAGGGTTCAACTGTGTGACTTGAATGCAATCATCACTCAGAAGTTTCTGAGAATGCTTCTCTTTAGTTTTTACGTGAACATATACCCGTTTCGAACGAAGGCCAGCCAGTGGTCCAAATATCCACTTGCAGATTCTACAGAAAGAGTGTTTCGAACCTGAACTCTCAAAGGCAGGTTCATCTCTGCGAGTTAAATGCATTCATCATGAAGAACTTTCTCAGAGTGTTTGTGTTTAGTTATGGGAAATTATTCCCGTTTCCAACGAAATCCTCAGAGAGCTCCAAATATCCACCTGCAGATTCTACCAAAAGTGTATTTGGAAACTGCTCCCATCTCAAAAGGCATGTTCAGCTCTGTGAGTGAAACTCCATCATCACAAAGAATATTCTGAGAATGCTTCCGTTTGCCTTTTATATGAAGTTCCTTCCTATACTACCGTAGGCCTCAAAGCAGTCCAAATCTCCATTTGCAGATTCTACAAAAAGAGTGATTCCAATCTGCTCTATCAATATGATTGTTCAACTCCATGAGTTGAATGCCATCCTCACAAAGTAGTTTCTGAGAATGCTTCTATCTAGTTTTTATGTGAAGATATTTCCTTTTCCACCACAGGCCTCAAAGCCCTCCAAACGTCCACTTGCAGATTCTCGAAAAAGAGTGTTTCATAGCTGCTCTTTCAAAAGGAAAGTTCAACTCTGGGAGTTGAATACAAACATCACAAAGTAGTTTCCGAGAATGCTTCTGTTTAGTTTTTATGTGAAGATGATCCCGTTTCCAGTGAAATCTTCAAAGAGGTCCACATATCCCCTTGCAGATTCCAAAGAAAGAGGGTTTCAAACCTGCTCCATCAGAAGGATTGTTCAACTCTGTGAGTTGAATGCAGTCATCGCAGAAAACTTTCTGAGAATGCTTCTGTCTAGGTTTGATGTGAAGATATAGACGTTTCAAACGAAGGCTACAAAGTGGTCAAAATATACACTTGCAGATTCTACTACAAGGGTGTTGCAAACCTGAACTATCAAAGGAAGGTTCAACTCTGTGAGTTGAATACAAACATCACAAAGAATGTTCTGAGTTTGCTTCCGTTCAGTTATGGGAAGTTGATCCCGTTTCCAACGAAATCCTCAGAGAGGTCCAAATATCCCCTTGCAGATTCTACAAAACGTGTGTTTGGAAACTGCTCCATCATAACGAATGTTCAGCTCCCTGAGTTAAACTCCATCGTCACAAAGAATTTTCTGAAAGTGCTACCGTCTGGTTTTTATATGAAGTTCTTTCCTTCACTACCACAGGCCTCAAAGCGGTCCAAATCTCCACTTGCAGATTCTACAAAAAGAGTGTTTGCAAACTGCTCTATCAAAAGGGAATGTTCAACTCTGGGAGTTGAATGCAATCATCACAGAGCAGTTTCTGAGAATGCTTCTATGTCGTTTTTAGGAGAAGATATTTCCTTTTCCAACACAGTCCTCCAAGCCCGCTAAATAGCCACTTGCACATTGTAGAAAAAGTGTGTCAAAGCTGCGCTATCAAAGGGAAAGTTCAACTCTGTGAGGTGAATGCAAACATCCCAAAGAAGTTTCTGAGAATGCTTCCGTTTAGCTTTTAGGTGAAGATTATCCCGTTTCCAACGAAACCTTCAAAGTAGGTCCAAATATCCCCTTGCGGATCCCACAGAAAGAGTGTTTCGAAACTGCTGTTTCAAAAGGAATCTTCAACTCTGTGAGTTGAATGCAATCATCACAAAGAAGTTTCTGACAATGCTTCTCTCTCGTCTTTCTGTGAAGATAAAGGAAAAGGCTTTCAGGCCTTTGCCACCACAGGCCTGAAAGCGCTCCAAATGTCCACTTGTAGATTCTGCCAAAAGAATATTTCAAAACTGCTCTATGAAAAGCAATGTTAAACTCTGTGGCTCGAACACAAACATCACAAAGCAGTTTCTGAGAATGCTTCAGTTTAGTTTTTCTGTGGAAATATTCCCGTTTCCAAAGAAATCTTCAAAGAGGTCCACGTATCCACTTACAGATTCTACAAAAAGACAGTTTCAAAACTGCTCCATCAAAAGGAGGGTTCAACCGTGTGACTTGAATGCAATCATCACTCAGAAGTTTCTGAGAATGCTTCTCTTTAGTTTTTAGGTGAACATATACCCGTTTCGAACGAAGGCCACCCAGTGGTCCAAATATCCACTTGCAGATTCTACAGAAAGAGTGTTTCGAACCTGAACTCTCAAAGGCAGGTTCATCTCTGCGAGTTCAATGCATTCATCATGAAGAACTTTCTCAGCGTGTTTGTGTTTAGTTATGGAAAATTATTCCCGTTTCCAACGAAATCCTCAGAGAGCTCCAAATATCCACCTGCAGATTCTACCAAAAGTGTATTTGGAAACTGCTCCATGAAAAGGCATGTTCAGCTCTGTGAGTGAAACTCCATCATCACAAAGAATATTCTGAGAATGCTTCCGTTTGCCTTTTATATGAAGTTCCTTCCTATACTACCGTAGGCCTCAAAGCAGTCCAAATCTCCATTTGCAGATTCTACAAAAAGAGTGATTCCAATCTGCTCTATCAATAGGATTGTTCAACTCCATGAGTTGAATGCCATCCTCACAAAGTCGTTTCTGAGAATGCTTCTATCTAGTTTTTATGTGAAGATATTTCCTTTTCCACCACAGGCCTCAAAGCCCTCCAAACGTCCACTTGCAGATTCTCGAAAAAGAGTGTTTCATAGCTGCTCTTTCAAAAGGAATGTTCAACTCTGGGAGTTGAATACAAACATCACAAAGTAGTTTCCGAGAATGCTTCTGTTTAGTTCTTATGTGAAGATGATCCCGTTTCCAGTGAAATCTTCAAAGAGGTCCACATATCCCCTTGCAGATTCCAAAGAAAGAGGGTTTCAAAACTGCTCCATCAAAAGGATTGTTCAACTCTGTGAGTTGAATGCAGTCATCGCAGAAAACTTTCTGAGAATGCTTCTGTCTAGGTTTGATGTGAAGATATAGACGTTTCAAACGAAGGGCTACAAAGTGGTCAAAATATACACTTGCAGATTCTACTACAAGGGTGTTGCAAACCTGAACTATCAATGGAAGGTTCAACTCTGTGAGTTGAATACAAACATCACAAAGAATGTTCTGAGTTTGCTTCCGTTCAGTTATGGGAAGTTGATCCCGTTTCCAACGAAATCCTCAGAGAGGTCCAAATATCCCCTTGCAGATTCTACAAAACGTGTGTTTGGAAACTGCTCCATCATAACGAATGTTCAGCTCCCTGAGTTAAACTCCATCGTCACAAAGAATTTTCTGAGAGTGCTACCGTCTGGTTTTTATATGAAGTTCTTTCCTTCACTACCACAGGCCTCAAAGCGGTCCAAATCTCCACTTGCAGATTCTACAAAAAGAGTGTTTGCAAACTGCTCTATCAAAAGGAATGTTCAACTCTGGGAGTTGAATGCAATCATCACAGAGCAGTTTCTGAGAATGCTTCTATGTCGTTTTTAGGAGAAGATATTTCCTTTTCCAACACAGTCCTCCAAGCCCGCTAAATAGCCACTTGCACATTGTAGAAAAAGTGTGTCGAAGCTGCGCTATCAAAGGGAAAGTTCAACTCTGTGAGGTGAATGCAAACATCCCAAAGAAGTTTCTGAGAATGCTTCCGTTTAGCTTTTAGGTGAAGATTATCCCGTTTCCAACGAAACCTTCAAAGAGGTCCAAATATCCCCTTGCGGATCCCACAGAAAGAGTGTTTCGAAACTGCTGTTTCAAAAGGAATCTTCAACTCTGTGAGTTGAATGCAATCATCACAAAGAAGTTTCTGACAATGCTTCTCTCTCGTCTTTCTGTGAACATAAAGGAAAAGGCTTTCAGGCCTTTTCCACCACAGGCCTGAAAGCGCTCCAAATGTCCACTTGCAGATTCTGCCAAAAGAATATTTCAAAACTGCTCTATGAAAAGCAATGTTAAACTCTGTGGCTCGAACACAAACATCACAAAGCAGTTTCTGAGAATGCTTCAGTTTAGTTTTTCTGTGGAAATATTCCCGTTTCCAAAGAAATCTTCAAAGAGGTCCACGTATCCACTTACAGATTCTACAAAAAGACAGTTTCAAAACTGCTCCATCAAAAGGAGGGTTCAACTGTGTGACTTGAATGCAATCATCACTCAGAAGTTTCTGAGAATGCTTCTCTTTAGTTTTTACGTGAACATATACCCGTTTCGAACGAAGGCCACCCAGTGGTCCAAATATCCACTTGCAGATTATACAGAAAGTGTGGTTCGAACCTGAACTCTCAAAGGCAGGTTCATCTCTGCGAGTTAAATGCATTCATCATGAAGAACTTTCTCAGAGTGTTTGTGTTTAGTTATGGGAAATTATTCCCGTTTCCAATGAAATCCTCAGAGAGCTCCAAATATCCACCTGCAGATTCTACCAAAAGTGTATTTGGAAACTGCTCCATCAAAAGGCATGTTCAGCTCTGTGAGTGAAACTCCATCATCACAAAGAACATTCTGAGAATGCTTCCGTTTGCCTTTTATCTGAAGTTCCTTCCTATACGACCGTAGGCCTCAAAGCAGTCCAAATCTCCATTTGCAGATTCTACAAAAAGAGTGATTCCAATCTGCTCTATCAATAGGATTGTTCAACTCCATGAGTTGAATGCCATCCTCACAAAGTAGTTTCTGAGAATGCTTCTATCTAGTTTTTATGTGAAGATATTTCCTTTTCCACCACAGGCCTCAAAGCCCTCCAAACGGCCACTTGCAGATTCTCGAAAAAGAGTGTTTCATAGCTGCTCTTTCAAAAGGAAAGTTCAACTCTGGGAGTTGAATACAAACATCACAAAGTAGTTTCCGAGAATGCTTCTGTTTAGTTTTTATGTGAAGATGATCCCGTTTCCAGTGAAATCTTCAAAGAGGTCCACATATCCCCTTGCAGATTCCAAAGAAAGAGGGTTTCAAAACTGCTCCATCAGAAGGATTGTTCAACTCTGTGAGTTGAATGCAGTCATCGCAGAAAACTTTCTGAGAATGCTTCTGTCTAGGTTTGATGTGAAGATATAGACGTTTCAAACGAAGGCTACAAAGTGGTCAAAATATACACTTGCAGATTCTACTACAAGGGTGTTGCAAACCTGAACTATCAAAGGAAGGTTCAACTCTGTGAGTTGAATACAAACATCACAAAGAATGTTCTGAGTTTGCTTCCGTTCAGTTATGGGAAGTTGATCCCGTTTCCAACGAAATCCTCAGAGAGGTCCAAATATCCCCTTGCAGATTCTACAAAACGTGTGTTTGGAAACTGCTCCATCATAACGAATGTTCAGCTCCCTGAGTTAAACTCCATCGTCACAAAGAATTTTCTGAGAGTGCTACCGTCTGGTTTTTATATGAAGTTCTTTCCTTCACTACCACAGGCCTCAAAGCGGTCCAAATCTCCACTTGCAGTTTCTACAAAAAGAGTGTTTGCAAACTGCTCTATCAAAAGGAATGTTCAACTCTGGGAGTTGAATGCAATCATCACAGAGCAGTTTCTGAGAATGCTTCTATGTCGTTTTTAGGAGAAGATATTTCCTTTTCCAACACAGTCCTCCAAGCCCGCTAAATAGCCACTTGCACATTGTAGAAAATGTGTGTCAAAGCTGCGCTATCAAAGGGAAAGTTCAACTCTGTGAGGTGAATGCAAACATCCCAAAGAAGTTTCTGAGAATGCTTCCGTTTAGCTTTTAGGTGAAGATTATCCCGTTTCCAACGAAACCTTCAAAGAGGTCCAAATATCCCCTTGCAGATCCCACAGAAAGAGTGTTTCGAAACTGCTGTTTCAAAAGGAATCTTCAACTCTGTGAGTTGAATGCAATCATCACAAAGAAGTTTCTGACAATGCTTCTCTCTCGTCTTTCTGTGAAGATAAAGGAAAAGGCTTTCAGGCCTTTTCCACCACAGGCCTGAAAGCGCTCCAAATGTCCACTTGCAGATTCTGCCAAAAGAATATTTCAAAACTGCTCTATGAAAAGCAATGTTAAACTCTGTGGCTCGAACACAAACATCACAAAGCGGTTTCTGAGAATGCTTCAGTTTAGTTTTTCTGTGGAAATATTCCCGTTTCCAAAGACATCTTCAAAGAGGTCCACGTATCCACTTACAGATTCTACAAAAAGACAGTTTCAAAACTGCTCAATCAAAAGGAGGGTTCAACTGTGTGACTTGAATGCAATCATCACTCAGAAGTTTCTGAGAATGCTTCTCTTTAGTTTTTACGTGAACATATACCCGTTTCGAACGAAGGCCACCCAGTGGTCCAAATGTCCACTTGCAGATTCTACAGAAAGAGTGTTTCGAACCTGAACTCTCAAAGGCAGGTTCATCTCTGCGAGTTAAATGCATTCATCATGAAGAACTTTCTCAGCGTGTTTGTGTTTAGTTGTGGGAAATTATTCCCGTTCCCAACGAAATCCTCAGAGAGGTCCAAATGTCCACCTGCAGATTCTACCAAAAGTGTATTTGGAAACTGCTCCATCAACAGGCATGTTCAGCTCTGTGAGTGAAACTCCATCATCACAAAGAATATTCTGAGAATGCTTCCGTTTGCCTTTTATATGAAGTTCCTTCCTATACGACCGTAGGCCTCAAAGCAGTCCAAATCTCCATTTGCAGATTCTACAAAAAGAGTGATTCCAATCTGCTCTATCAATAGGATTGTTCAACTCCATGAGTTGAATGCCATCCTCACAAAGTCGTTTCTGAGAATGCTTCTATCTAGTTTTTATGTGAAGATATTTCCTTTTCCACCACAGGCCTCAAAGCCCTCCAAACGTCCACTTGCAGATTCTCGAAAAAGAGTGTTTCATAGCTGCTCTTTCAAAAGGAAAGTTCAACTCTGGGAGTTGAATACAAACATCACAAAGTAGTTTCCGAGAATGCTTCTGTTTAGTTTTTATGTGAAGATGATCCCGTTTCCAGTGAAATCTTCAAAGAGGTCCACATATCCCCTTGCAGATTCCAAAGAAAGAGGGTTTAAAAACTGCTCCATCAGAAGGATTGTTCAACTCCTGTGAGTTGAATGCAGTCATCGCAGAAAACTTTCTGAGAATGCTTCTGTCTAGTTTTGATGTGAAGATATAGACGTTTCAAACGAAGGCTACAAAGTGGTCAAAATATACACTTGCAGATTCTACTACAAGGGTGTTGCAAACCTGAACTATCAAAGGAAGGTTCAACTCTGTGAATTGAATACAAACATCACAAAGAATGTTCTGAGTTTGCTTCCGTTCAGTTATGGGAAGTTGATCCCGTTTCCAACGAAATCCTCAGAGAGGTCCAAATATCCCCTTGCAGATTCTACAAAACGTGTGTTTGGAAACTGCTCCATCATAACGAATGTTCAGCTCCCTGAGTTAAACTCCATCGTCACAAAGAATTTTCTGAGAGTGCTACCGTCTGGTTTTTATATGAAGCTCTTTCCTTCACTACCACAGACCTCAAAGCGGTCCAAATCTCCACTTGCAGATTCTACAAAAAGAGTGTTTGCCAACTGCTCTATCAAAAGGAATGTTCAACTCTGGGAGTTGAATGCAATCATCACAGAGCAGTTTCTGAGAATGCTTCTATGTCGTTTTTAGGAGAAGATATTTCCTTTTCCAACACAGTCCTCCAAGCCCGCTAAATAGCCACTTGCACATTGTAGAAAAAGTGTGTCGAAGCTGCGCTATCAAAGGGAAAGTTCAACTCTGTGAGGTGAATGCAAACATCCCAAAGAAGTTTCTGAGAATGCTTCCGTTTAGCTTTTAGGTGAGATTATCCCGTTTCCAACGAAATCTTCAAAGAGTTCCAAATATCCCCTTGTGGATCCCACAGAAAGAGTGTTTCGAAACTGCTGTTTCAAAAGGAATCTTCAACTCTGTGAGTTGAATGCAATCATCACAAAGAAGTTTCTGGCAATGCTTCTCTCTCGTCTTTATGTGAAGATAAAGGAAAAGGCTTTCAGACCTTTTCCACCACAGGCCTGAAAGCGCTCCAAATGTCCACTTGCAGATTCTGCGAACAGAATGTTTCAAAACTGCTCTATGAAAAGCAATGTTAAACTCTGTGGCTCGAACACAAACATCACAAATCAGTTTCTGAGAATGCTTCAGTTTAGTTTTTCTGTGGAGATATTCCCATTTCCAAAGAAATCTTCAAAGAGGTCCACATATCCACTTACAGATTCTACAAAAAGACAGATTCAAAACTGCTCAATCAAAAGGAGGGTTCAACTGTGTGACTTGAATGCAATCATCACACAGAAGTTTCTGAGAATGCTTCTCTTTAGTTTTTACGTGAACATATACCCGTTTCGAACGAAGGCCACCCAGTGGTCCAAATATCCACTTGCAGATTATATAGAAAGAGTGTTTCGAACCTGAACTCTCAAAGGCAGGTTCATCTCTGCGAGTTAAATGCATTCATCATGAAGAACTTTCTCAGAGTGTTTGTGTTTAGTTATGGGAAATTATTCCCGTTTCCAACGAAATCCTCAGAGAGCTCCAAATATCCACCTGCAGATTCTACCAAAAGTGTATTTGGAAACTGCTCCATCAAAAGGCATGTTCAGCTCTGTGAGTGAAACTCCATCATCACAAAGAATATTCTGAGAATGCTTCCGTTTGCCTTTTATCTGAAGTTCCTTCCTATACGACCGTAGGCCTCAAAGCAGTCCAAATCTCCATTTGCAGATTCTACAAAAAGAGTGATTCCAATCTGCTCTATCAATAGGATTGTTCAACTCCATGAGTTGAATGCCATCCTCACAAAGTAGTTTCTGAGAATGCTTCTATCTAGTTTTTATGTGAAGATATTTCCTTTTCCACCACAGGCCTCAAAGCCCTCCAAACGTCCACTTGCAGATTCTCGAAAAAGAGTGTTTCATAGCTGCTCTTTCAAAAGGAAAGTTCAACTCTGGGAGTTGAATACAAACATCACAAAACAGTTTCCGAGAATGCTTCTGTTTAGTTTTTATGTGAAGATGATCCCGTTTCCAGTGAAATCTTCAAAGAGGTCCACATATCCCCTTGCAGATTCCAAAGAAAGAGGGTTTCAAAACTGCTCCATCAGAAGGATTGTTCAACTCTGTGAGTTGAATGCAGTCATCGCAGAAAACTTTCTGAGAATGCTTCTGTCTAGGTTTGATGTGAAGATATAGACGTTTCAAATGAAGGCTACAAAGTGGTCAAAATATACACTTGCAGATTCTACTACAAGGGTGTTGCAAACCTGAACTATCAAAGGAAGGTTCAACTCTGTGAGTTGAATACAAACATCACAAAGAATGTTCTGAGTTTGCTTCCGTTCAGTTATGGGAAGTTGATCCCGTTTCCAACGAAATCCTCAGAGAGGTCCAAATATCCCCTTGCAGATTCTACAAAACGTGTGTTTGGAAACTGCTCCATCATAACGAATGTTCAGCTCCCTGAGTTAAACTCCATCGTCACAAAGAATTTTCTGAGAGTGCTACCGTCTGGTTTTTATATGAAGTTCTTTCCTTCACTACCACAGGCCTCAATGCGGTCCAAATCTCCACTTGCAGATTCTACAAAAAGAGTGTTTGCAAACTGCTCTATCAAAAGGAATGTTCAACTCTGGGAGTTGAATGCAATCATCACAGAGCAGTTTCTGAGAATGCTTCTATGTCGTTTTTAGGAGAAGATATTTCCTTTTCCAACACAGTCCTCCAAGCCCGCTAAATAGCCACTTGCACATTGTAGAAAAAGTGTGTCAAAGCTGCGCTATCAAAGGGAAAGTTCAACTCTGTGAGGTGAATGCAAACATCCCAAAGAAGTTTCTGAGAATGCTTCCGTTTAGCTTTTAGGTGAAGATTATCCCGTTTCCAACGAAACCTTCAAAGTAGGTCCAAATATCCCCTTGCGGATCCCACAGAAAGAGTGTTTCGAAACTGCTGTTTCAAAAGGAATCTTCAACTCTGTGAGTTGAATGCAATCATCACAAAGAAGTTTCTGACAATGCTTCTCTCTCGTCTTTCTGTGAAGATAAAGGAAAAGGCTTTCAGGCCTTTTCCACCACAGGCCTGAAAGCGCTCCAAATGTCCACTTGCAGATTCTGCCAAAAGAATATTTCAAAACTGCTCTATGAAAAGCAATGTTAAACTCTGTGGCTCGAACACAAACATCACAAAGCGGTTTCTGAGAATGCTTCAGTTTACTTTTTCTGTGGAAGTATTCCCGTTTCCAAAGAAATCTTCAAAGAGGTCCACGCATCCACTTACAGATTCTACAAAAAGACAGTTTCAAAACTGCTCAATCAAAAGGAGGGTTCAACTGTGAGACTTGAATGCAATCATCACTCAGAAGTTTCTGAGAACGCTTCTCTTTAGTTTTTACGTGAACATATACCCGTTTCGAACGAAGGCCACCCAGTGGTCCAAATATCCACTTGCAGATTATACAGAAAGAGTGTTTCGAACCTGAACTCTCAAAGGCAGGTTCATCTCTGCGAGTTAAATGCATTCATCATGAAGAACTTTCTCAGAGTGTTTGTGTTTAGTTATGGGAAATTATTCCCCTTTCCAACGAAATCCTCAGAGAGCTCCAAATATCCACCTGCAGATTCTACCAAAAGTGTATTTGGAAACTGCTCCATCAAAAGGCATGTTCAGCTCTGTGAGTGAAACTCCATCATCACAAAGAATATTCTGAGAATGCTTCCGTTTGCCTTTTATATGAAGTTCCTTCCTGTACTACCGTAGGCCTCAAAGCAGTCCAAATCTCCATTTGCAGATTCTACAAAAAGAGTGATTCCAATCTGCTCTATCAATAGGATTGTTCAACTCCATGAGTTGAATGCCATCCTCACAAAGCAGTTTCTGAGAATGCTTCTATCTGGTTTTTGTGTGAAGATATTTCCTTTTCCACCACAGGCCTCAAAGCCCTCCAAACGTCCACTTGCAGATTCTCGAAAAAGAGTGTTTCATAGCTGCTCTTTCAAAAGGAAAGTTCAACTCTGGCAGTTGAATACAAACATCACAAAGTAGTTTCCGAGAATGCTTCTGTTTAGTTTTTATGTGAAGATGATCCCGTTTCCAGTGAAATCTTCAAAGAGGTCCACATATCCCCTTGCAGATTCCAAAGAAAGAGGGTTTCAAAACTGCTCCATCAGAAGGATTGTTCAACTCTGTGAGTGGAATGCAGTCATCGCAGAAAACTTTCTGAGAATGCTTCTTTCTAGGTTTGATGTGAAGATATAGACGTTTCAAACGAAGGCTACAAAGTGGTCAAAATATACACTTGCAGATTCTACTACAAGGGTGTTGCAAACCTGAACTATCAAAGGAAGGTTCAACTCTGTGAGTTGAATACAAACATCACAAAGAATGTTCTGAGTTTGCTTCCGTTCAGTTATGGGAAGTTGATCCCGTTTCCAACGAAATCCTCAGAGAGGTCCAAATATCCCCTCGCAGATTCTACAAAACGTGTGTTTGGAAACTGCTCCATCATAACGAATGTTCAGCTCCCTGAGTTAAACTCCATCGTCACAAAGAATTTTCTGAGAGTGCTACCGTCTGGTTTTTATATGAAGTTCTTTCCTTCACTACCACAGGCCTCAAAGCGGTCCAAATCTCCACTTGCAGATTCTACAAAAAGAGTGTTTGCAAACTGCTCTATCAAAAGGAATGTTCAACTCTGGGAGTTGAATGCAATCATCACAGAGCAGTTTCTGAGAATGCTTCTATGTCGTTTTTAGGAGAAGATATTTCCTTTTCCAACACAGTCCTCCAAGCCCGCTAAATAGCCACTTGCACATTGTAGAAAAAGTGTGTCAAAGCTGCGCTATCAAAGGGAAAGTTCAACTCTGTCAGGTGAATGCAAACATCCCAAAGAAGTTTCTGAGAATGCTTCCGTTTAGCTTTTAGGTGAAGATTATCCCGTTTCCAACGAAACCTTCAAAGAGGTCCAAATATCCCCTTGCGGATCCCACAGAAAGAGTGTTTAGAAACTGCTGTTTCAAAAGGAATCTTCAACTCTGTGAGTTGAATGCAATCATCACAAAGAAGTTTCTGACAATGCTTCTCTCTCGTCTTTCTGTGAACATAAAGGAAAAGGCGTTCAGGCCTTTGCCACCACAGGCCTGAAAGCGCTCCAAATGTCCACTTGCAGATTCTGCCAAAAGAATATTTCAAAACTGCTCTATGAAAAGCAATGTTAAACTCTGTGGCTCGAACACAAACATCACAAAGCGGTTTCTGAGAATGCTTCAGTTTAGTTTTTCTGTGGAAATATTCCCGTTTCCAAAGAAATCTTCAAAGAGGTCCACGTATCCACTTACAGATTCTACAAAAAGACAGTTTCAAAACTGCTCCATCAAAAGGAGGGTTCAACTGTGTGACTTGAATGCAATCATCACTCAGAAGTTTCTGAGAATGCTTCTCTTTAGTTTTTACGTGAACATATACCCGTTTCGAACGAAGGCCAGCCAGTGGTCCAAATATCCACTTGCAGATTCTCCAGAAAGAGTGTTTCGAACATGAACTCTCAAAGGCAGGTTCATCTCTGCGAGTTAAATGCATTCATCATGAAGAACTTTCTCAGAGTGTTTGTGTTTAGTTATGGGAAATTATTCCCGTTTCCAACGAAATCCTCAGAGAGGTCCAAATATCCACCTGCAGATTCTACCAAAAGTGTATTTGGAAACTGCTCCATCAAAAGGCATGTTCAGCTCTGTGAGTGAAACTCCATCATCACAAAGAATATTCTGAGAATGCTTCCGTTTGCCTTTTATATGAAGTTCCTTCCTATACGACCGTAGGCCTCAAAGCAGTCCAAATCTCCATTTGCAGATTCTACAAAAAGAGTGATTCCAATCTGCTCTATCAATAGGATTGTTCAACTCCATGAGTTGAATGCCATCCTCACCAAGTCGTTTCTGAGAATGCTTCTATCTAGTTTTTATGTGAAGATATTTCCTTTTCCACCACAGGCCTCAAAGCCCTCCAAACGTCCACTTTCAGATTCTCGAAAAAGAGTGTTTCATAGCTGCTCTTTCAAAAGGAAAGTTCAACTCTGGGAGTTGAATACAAACATCACAAAGTAGTTTCCGAGAATGCTTTCTGTTTAGTTTTTATGTGAAGATGATCCCGTTTCCAGTGAAATCTTCAAAGAGGTCCACATATCCCCTTGCAGATTCCAAAGAAAGAGGGTTTCAAAACTGCTCCATCAGAAGGATTGTTCAACTCTGTGAGTTGAATGCAGTCATCGCAGAAAACTTTCTGAGAATGCTTCTGTCTAGGTTTGATGTGAAGGTATAGACGTTTCAAATGAAGGCTACAAAGTGGTCAAAATATACACTTGCAGATTCTACTACAAGGGTGTTGCAAACCTGAACTATCAAAGGAAGGTTCAACTCTGTGAGTTGAATACAAACATCACAAAGAATGTTCTGAGTTTGCTTCCGTTCAGTTATGGGAAGTTGATCCCGTTTCCAACGAAATCCTCAGAGAGGTCCAAATATCCCCTTGCAGATTCTACAAAACGTGTGTTTGGAAACTGCTCCATCATAACGAATGTTCAGCTCCCTGAGTTAAACTCCATCGTCACAAAGAATTTTCTGAGAGTGCTACCGTCTGGTTTTTATATGAAGTTCTTTCCTTCACTACCACAGGCCTCAAAGCGGTCCAAATCTCCACTTGCAGATTCTACAAAAAGAGTGTTTGCAAACTGCTCTATCAAAAGGAATGTTCAACTCTGGGAGTTGAATGCAATCATCACAGAGCAGTTTCTGAGAATGCTTCTATGTCGTTTTTAGAAGATATTTCCTTTTCCAACACAGTCCTCCAAGCCCGCTAAATATCCACTTGCACATTGTAGAAAACGTGTGTCAAAGCTGCGCTATCAAAGGGAAAGTTCAACTCTGTGAGGTGAATGCAAACATCCCAAAGAAGTTTCTGAGAATGCTTCCGTTTAGCTTTTAGGTGAAGATTATCCCGTTTCCAACGAAACCTTCAAAGAGGTCCAAATATCCCCTTGCGGATCCCACAGAAAGAGTGTTTCGAAACTGCTGTTTCAAAAGGAATCTTCAACTCTGTGAGTTGAATGCAATCATCACAAAGAAGTTTCTGACAATGCTTCTCTCTCGTCTTTCTGTGAAGATAAAGGAAAAGGCTTTCAGGCCTTTTCCGCCACAGGCCTGAAAGCGCTCCAAATGTCCACTTGCAGATTCTGCGAAAAGAATATTTCAAAACTGCTCTATGAAAAGCAATGTTAAACTCTGTGGCTCGAACACAAACATCACAAAGCGGTTTCTGAGAATGCTTCAGTTTACTTTTTCTGTGGAAATATTCCCGTTTCCAAAGAAATCTTCAAAGAGGTCCACGCATCCACTTACAGATTCTACAAAAAGACAGTTTCAAAACTGCTCAATCAAAAGAAGGGTTCAACTGTGTGACTTGAATGCAATCATCACTCAGAAGTTTCTGAGAACGCTTCTCTTTAGTTTTTACGTGAACATATACCCGTTTCGAACGAAGGCCAGCCAGTGGTCCAAATATCCACTTGCAGATTCTACAGAAAGAGTGTTTCGAACCTGAACTCTCAAAGGCAGGTTCATCTCTGCGAGTTAAATGCATTCATCATGAAGAACTTTCTCAGCGTGTTTGTGTTTAGTTATGGGAAATTATTCCCGTTTCCAACGAAATCCTCAGAGAGCTCCAAATATCCACCTGCAGATTGTACCAAAACTGTATTTGGAAACTGCTCCATGAAAAGGCATGTTCAGCTCTGTGAGTGAAACTCCGTCATCACAAAGAATATTCTGAGAATGCTTCCGTTTGCCTTTTATATGAAGTTCCTTCCTATACTACCGTAGGCCTCAAAGCAGTCCAAATCTCCATTTGCAGATTCTACAAAAAGAGTGATTCCAATCTGCTCTATCAATAGGATTGTTCAACTCCATGAGTTGAATGCCATCCTCACAAAGTAGTTTCTGAGAATGCTTCTATCTAGTTTTTATGTGAAGATATTTCCTTTTCCACCACAGGCCTCAAAGCCCTCCAAACGTCCACTTGCAGATTCTCGAAAAAGAGTGTTTCATAGCTGCTCTTTCAAAAGGAAAGTTCAACTCTGGGAGTTGAATACAAACATCACAAAGTAGTTTCCGAGAATGCTTCTGTTTAGTTCTTATGTGAAGATGATCCCGTTTCCAGTGAAATCTTCAAAGAGGTCCACATATCCCCTTGCAGATTCCAAAGAAAGAGGGTTTCAAAACTGCTCCATCAAAAGGATTGTTCAACTCTGTGAGTTGAATGCAGTCATCGCAGAAAACTTTCTGAGAATGCTTCTGTCTAGGTTTGATGTGAAGATATAGACGTTTCAAAAGAAGGCTACAAAGTGGTCAAAATATACACTTGCAGAATGTACTACAAGGGTGTTGCAAACCTGAACTATCAAAGAAAAGTTCAACTCTGTGGGTTGAATACAAACATCGCAGAGAATGTTCTGAGTTTGCTTCCGTTCAGTTATGGGAAGTTGATCCCGTTTCCTACGAAATCCTCAGAGAGGACCAAATATCCCCTTGCAGATTCTACAAAACGTGTGTTTGGAAACTGCTCCATCATAACGAATGTTCAGCTCCCTGAGTTAAACTCCAACGTCACAAAGAGTTTTCTGAGAGTGCTACCGTCCAGTTTTTATATGAAGTTCTTTCCTTTACTACCACAAGCCTCAAAGCGGTCCAAATCTCCACTTGCAGATTCTACAAAAAGAGTGTTTGCAAACCGCTCTATCAAAAGGAATGTTCAACTCTGGGAGTTGAATGCAATCATCACAGAGCAGTTTCTGAGAATGCTTCTATGTCGTTTTTAGGAGAAGATATTTCCTTTTCCAACACAGTCCTCCAAGCCCGCTAAATAGCCACTTGCACATTGTAGAAAAAGTGTGTCAAAGCTGCGCTATCAAAGGGAAAGTTCAACTCTGTGAGGTGAATGCAAACATCCCAAAGAAGTTTCTGAGAATGCTTCCGTTT